>NC_000002.12:26451619-26604369 GCF_000001405.40 Homo sapiens
GGTTGAGGCTGCAGTGAGCCATGATTTCACCACTGCATTTCAGCCTGGGTGACAGAGTGTGAGACACTGTCTCTAAGGGAAAAAAAAGAGAAAAGAAAAAAAGAGCTGGCAGAAATGGACAAAACCACAAAGCCATAAAGGGAATAAAAGCTATATTTGACTACAGAATTTAAAAACAATTCTGTAGTGCAAAAATCATGATAAGCAAAGTTAAGAGATGAATGACAAGCTGCAGAGAAATATTTTCAACTCATATCATAGTTAAGGCATTTCCTTAATATATAAAGAGCTCTCTGAAATCAATAAGAAAAAGACCAACAAAAGGAACAGATAACAAATATGAATGAACAACTCCTAGAAGAGGCAATACAGGTAACTCTTAAACATATGAAAAGACAATCAGCCTTCCTTGTAATAAGAGAAATGCAAATTAAAATGGCTGATTTCCATTTTGCCAACCTGTTATGTTGGCGCAAAAAAAAAAAAAGCTTGATAACACAGCAAGTATAACATAGCGATGACTGAGGTGTAGAAAACAGGCACACTCATAAGTTACTGGTAGGAGTATAAATTGTAACCTCCATTGAGGACAGTTTGGCAGTATCAATTACAAAACTATATACATTTTACTCTGAAATTCTTCTTCTTTTTTTTGAGACAGAGTCTCACTCTGTTGCCCAGGCTGGAGTGCAGTGGCACGATCTCGGCTCACTACAACCTCCATCTCCCAGGTTCAAGCCATTCTCCTGCCTCAGCCTCCTGAGTAGCTGGGATTGATTACAGGCACCTGCCACCACGCCCGGCTAATTTTTGTATTTTTAGTAGAGATGTGGTTTCACCATGTTGGCCAGGCTGCTCTCGAACTCCTGACCTCAAATGATCTGCCCACCTTGGCCTCTGAAATTCTTCTTCTAGGATTTTATTCTCTAAATATATCTCATTACAGTTGAAATGGTGTATTTATTGTAGCTGATTCACTGTACATTGTTTGAAATGGCAGAAGATTCGAAACAACCTATATGTCCATTGTTGAGGAATCTATTTAATAATATATGGTATGTCTACACGATGGGGTACTATAAAACTGTGGGAAAAAACCAAAGTTCTTTATGTATTCACATGAAAAGGTACCTAAGGTTTATTGGTAAGTGTAAAAGCAAACTACAGAACTCTATTTGTAGTATAGTATCATTGATGTCAAAACGAGAAGGAGGAGTATATATGGAAAGGTATGCGCATGTATTTATATATAAACATTATATAGACATACTATTTCCTTGGAAGGAACCATAGGAAACTTGATAGCATTCGTTTGCCTGTGGGAGGTCAATTGCATGAACTGCAAAATAGGAGTAGGAGGAAGACCTTTTAAATTTAACAATTAAAGCAAAAATTTAATCTGTATTATGATTCAAAAGAAGATTTCTAACATGTAAGCTTTATGAATGTCAGTAAGGTGAGCACCTAGGAGCCCGGATTTAGAAACAGAACCTTTCCATTTTCTCGTAGCCTCCTAGTGCCTCTCCCCATCCCATCCCCCTTCTTCCCACTCTTTCTCCTGTTTCTGTCCCTGTGTAAATGTCTCCCTGGGCAAGCTGTCACTTTCTGTAAACTTTTCTGGTTTTTCTTCTTCCTGCCTCTCTCTCCATGCTCATGCTCGTGTGTCCCCAGCCCACAGTTGTCCGTGCATCTTTCTCCAGATCAAGCCCTGCAGTCAGGCGAGCATGGAGAAGGCGAGCATGGAGGAGACAAGCACGAGGTCAGAATTGGAGCTGGCAGAGCAGACGGAGATGGAGGGAGAAAAGGAAGAAAGCCTGGTGGAAGGGGAGAAGGAGGAAGAGGAGGAGACCCCACCCTCCCCCTGGGTCATCCACCCCAATGATGTCCTCAAGATTCTGGAGGCCTTCGTCATGGGTCTGAAGAAGCCTAGGTGGGCTGCGGGGCTGGAAGGCTTGCCTGAGACCAGAACCAGGGGAGCTGGATGGGCTGGGGAGCCAGGCAGAGCCAGTGAGTGGAGAAGAGTCTGCTGGGCAAGATGCGGGGACTAAGGACAGGGCTATCTGAAGGCGGGCTGGGGCAACCAATCGCTGGACAGTCAGGAAAGCAATAGGGCATAGTGGTGATCTGTGCTTTTTTCACTCATCATTCATTCAGCAGACATGCACTGAAGGCTGCCATGTGTAAGCACTGTGGGGGCACTGCCTTGTGATCAGAGTAATGGTCAAAGCACATTCAAGGTGCACCATTGTTCAGAGGAGGAAGTGGCCGTTTCCATTTGGCATGTCAGAGGGTTTTGGGAGGAAATGGCACTGGAACTAGGTGTTCCCAGGCAGATAAAATGGAGGTAAGGGCATTTCAGGAAATGACAGCATGGGGAAGGTCTGGTCTGTTCAAGAATCATCACAGGAGGTCTGGCTGGAGTGTCAAGGGCCTGGGAGGTGGCACTGGTGGGTGGGGAGCTAGCCAGGTCTTGGAGAGCCTTGCCCAATGTGCCCAAGATCTTTGTCTTTACCCGTTGGTGGGTGGGAGCCAGAAAAGGATTTGAAGCAGCCGAAGAGCCATGATTAGCCTTGCGTTTTAGAGAGATCATTGTGGCGTCAGGGAAGGGGCGAAGCTGGATACAGGGAAAGCATCAGGAGGCTTGTCCAGGTGGGAGGTGAGGATCCCCCAGATTAAGGCTGTCATGAGGGGATGGAGAGGACATGACTGAATTCAAGTGCTGTTTTGGATGTGTTGGTGCAAGAGATGGGCACAGTGATGAGCTGTAAAGCCAGTGAGGTAAACTGATTGGGAGAGAGAGGGGTGGATGAAGCACGGATTATGCCCTCACGAAGGTACCGGTGGTACCGAGGCAGGAACGTTGACAATAAGCATGCGTCCTTTCTGAGAACCTGCCACCGTCTAATAAACTTGGACTGCTGAGTGGGAAGGTGACAGGTGGGAAAGCAGTAGGCCTGTGACTGGCACTGCCTGGGGGCCTGGGTAGTACCCAATGGACATGACAATCACTGTGCTCTTGGCCTTCAGGGACTCGCGGGCCCCGCTGAGGGTACAGAAGAATGTGCGTGACAACTCCAAGGACTCGGAGTACTGGCAGGCCCTGACCACAGTGATCCCTTCCTCCAAGCAGAACCTCTGGGATGCCCTCTACACAGCCTTGGAGAAGTACCAGTAAGTGTGCATGTCATGGAGCAGGAGGGTGCTGGCGGGCAGGTGAGGAACGGTTGTTGGGAGCAGCCGCGTTTGCTGCCTCCCTGTCCCACTGAACCTGGGAGGGAAGAGCTGCCCTTGGCATCTCCTGTGTGGGTGGATCATGTGGGGCAGTTGGCTCTTGGGCCCTGGCCTGCCTGTTCTGTTCCTGCTAACCTGGCTCACCTGGCGGCTGGGTGAAGAGTGTAGCTTCTGGAGTCTCCCTCCACCTGTAGCCAAAGTACAACCACCAAGACCCTGGCCCCTACTTGGCAGAGGATGGAGGATTCAGTGAGCCTCTAACCGATTTTTCTGTCCAAAGCCTTGTCCTGACCCAGAGGGCCAAGCTGCTGCTGGAAAACAGTTCTCTGGAGCAGCAGAACACAGAGCTGCAGGCGCTACTGCAGCAGTATCTGAACTCCAAGGTGGGCGGCGGGGCCTTCCAAGGAGGGGCAGCGGGAGACACGGGTGGGGCAGGGGCACTGGAGCTGGGATTAGGGAACGAGGAGTCCCCTCCCCGTCAGAGGCAAGGGAGCTTTGTGATATGATGTAAAAAATCAAGAGTGGCACCTTGAGACAACTACTGGCCAAAGGAGTAGATCTTGCCTGAAGTCTCCTCCAGGACAGCTCAGGTGTGACAGTGTCTCTTTGATACTGTGGTTTCTGGTGCCAGTGGCCAGCTGGGACTGCTCTGTGTGAAGCAGTGCCACAGCCAGGAGCAGCTCCCCAGCTACAGAGCCTCCAGCTGTGCTCTCTTCTTCCATCCTCACACCCGCTGTGTGAGGTGGACAGGGCGGAAACAATGCTCCTCATTTCACACAAAGGACAATCACAACTTGCAGAGTTTGCAACTCGTCCAGAGCCTGGGCTCTTTCCACCCACCAGCCCCGGTTCCCTGCCTGGGATATGACTGGAGGGTCATCCTCGCATGGGGAAGGAGGCTCTGCTGGGGCAGATATTCCCTGGCCCCCATCTGTGCCCAACCCTGCAATAGTTGTGGACAACTTCCCCATGGCCTGGCAAGAGGAGGAAGGAAAAAGTCCATTGCTGACATTTCCTGCTCTGCGGGTGTGGGCACCTGCAGCTGGGGCTGTAGGCCAGGAAGGTCGTGACGCAGCTGTTAGTTGCACACGTGTGAGGTGACTGAGGCCAGCTCCAAGTCCAGCCACAGGGGCTGCGTGGCCCCAGCACAGTCCCAGGTCCCAGGCCACAGCTGAAAGTGGGATGTTGTAGTGAACCTTGGCCTCATAATGACCCTTGGCCTGTGACAGGACCCAGACATTCTGGACGGTATGGTTCCCGCTTCCACAGATGCTACTGTATACAAGAGGCTGGGGGAGGAAGAGGTGGGGCAGGCTAGATTGGGGATGGCATGGGTGCGTGGAGAGAGGAGAGGGGAAGACTGCAGAGAATGGACGGGCGGGAGATGAAGAACGCTACCAGAGGTCACAGCTGGAGCAGAAGCTGAGCAAGAAGGCTCAGGCGTGTCTCCTGCAGGGAGGCAGTCTGTGGGTGTTCAGCATCTCTCAGCTTTGGAGAGGAGATGCGTGCAGGGCTTTGGAGGCCCATGGGAGAGCCAGCGTGGCTCGCAAGGGTGGCAAAGAAGGAGGGCCCTGGGAAAAATGTAACGACTTTCACCCTTTCTTTTCCAGATCAACTCTGAACTGCAAGTTCCTCCCACTCAGGTGTTGCGGGTACCCACAAAATGAGCTGGACCGCCAAAGGCTGATGTGTTAGGGCTGGCCTGATGCTGGTGTCTGTGCCGGAGCCAGCTCATATCACCCACTGGGCCGCACCTGGGCCTGCTCTCTGGATTTTCCAGGGCTGTCTTTATAGCCTGTCGAAATAAGGAGCCAGAGGAGTTACCTGTGTCCTGCATTATGATTAAAGCCTTTTAAAGTTGTGGCTGAATCTCTTTAAAGAGGTCAGGTCTAGCAAGACCAGGCCCTTGCCCCTACCTCTGTGTCATGAGGGGACTTTGCCCCAGGCTCAGATAGTGGTGTGAGTCAGAGGCCGAGGCCAGTAGCGTGGGGCTCCTTTCTTGCTTTCAGGGGAACTGGTTTCTGTGGGTGGAGGCTAGAGCTTTTGGGCCCTTGTGGGGCCTTAAGCCTTCAGACTGGCCCCAGACCTGAAGGATTCTTTCGGTGCTTTGGGGGCCCCTGGGCCCAGGCTGGTGTGCCCTTTGGGCTATGGTGTAAGACTCCTCCTGTGGGCAGCCTGGGTGGGCAGCCCTGTGCCTGAGGCCTGCCTTGAACCCTGGGCCACCAGAGGCCACTTGAAGGGGAAAGGCCATGGGAGCCCTGCTGGTACTGAATCTGCCAGCCTAGAGAACTGCTGCCTCTGCCCCGCACCTGCGGCTGCTCCTCTCAGCTTGACCAGTGCAGACCTGTCAGCTCAGTGCTTGACTTCTTTTATTTAGAGAAAAATCACCACTCAAGAAAAGAAAAACAGCCAACAGAAACCCAGACACAGGCAGGGGCAGCACTTGACGGGCCAGCTCCCAGCTGCAGCTGAAAGGGCTGGAAGGGCAAGGGGGCAGGGGTGGGAGGACAGGGTGTGCCCGGGATGGGGAGTCCCCTCTGCTGCTTCTCACAGCTCCTCAGCTGGGCCTGGAGGCGCTGGCTGGGGCAGAGGGAGCTCTGGGAAGCCATGGAAACCCACAGGCAGGACAGGCGACCCCCTGGGAAGTGAGAGGAGCCAAGTGGAGCCCAGCAGTGGCAGAAGCAGCCGCGCTGGGACTTGTGGGCAGGGTCTGGCCCCTGCTGCGGATCAAAGACCGGTGCTATCTGCAGGGGTCACGGCGGGGATACCTTTTGCTCGTTCATTCTTTTTAAAGCCCTGGGCACTGACCCATGGTCCTTGGTTAATTTCACTAAAGCTTCAATCCTGTACTTGGAAGACCTGGGGAGGGTTTCAGGAGTCTTCCTCTGGAGCCTGGGCCTGAAGAAGGGTGGCGCCTCAGCCAGGTGGGGCAAGAGAGACCCATTCCAGGTCCCCACCCCATCCAAGGCTCCCCAGCCCACAGGCAGGGGTCAGAGGGGCGGGACTGGGCAAGCCGCAGCCTGGGGCAGTGAGGACAGGCGGCCCCCGCAAGCAGGAGGCAGGCTCGGCCCAAGGCATGAAGAGTGGACGCTGGGCTCCTCAGGCTCCCCAGGGGAGATGGGAAAGAGTCCAAGCCACTGAAAGGAAATGCGGCAGGGCTGGGGAGCGGCTGGCGGGAGCTGGCGGCCTTCATGCCCCAAGGAGCTTTTTGACCATGTAGCCAGGGAGGCTGTAGAGGAAGAGCCCCAACATGAGCAGCCCCAACAGCGCCAGCACGATCTTGATGATGAGCCACTTGTACCGGGTGCAGATGAGGTACTTGATGGACTTGAGAGGGTTGAGGAACCAGACGAAGGCCGTGTCGGGCCGGCTGGGAAGTGGAAGAGAGGAGCCGGTCAGCCAGTGGGCAGGAGCTGCCTCCCAGTGCACCCCATCCTCTGTCCTTCTGGACCCCCAAAAGCCCTGCCATGGCCCCAGCCCCAAAAGCAGTGAATGCTGGAGCCAGGGTTTAAACCCATTTCTAAGTACCCGACTTGCTGCTTACAAAACTCTATCCTCCCTGCAGCACCTTTGGGGCCCGAATCTCCTCCTAAGGCCTAGATGGGAGCTACTTGCAGCATGGGGCAGCCTTGGCCCTGCAGGCAGTTCTCATCGTTAGGAAGCTCCTGCGGTTAGCTCGTTCTATGTGCTGCCCCACGTCCTTGGTAAGACTGGTGCTTCACAACCTCTTCCTTTCTGATGGACATAAATGGCTGTTCCCACCGGGCCCTGCTGAGGGTCTGAGCAGCCCCTGTGGGGTGCAAGCTGCCCTCACCGACCTGCCCACTCTCAGGATGAAGACCCACTCCACCTTCTGTAGAGCCTCCCAGCCGAGAAGCACCTGGCCAGCCTCACTATCTGTCGTTTGTGTTATAAAAACAATAGGTTTTGTAAAATGTCAAGATACAAGTGAAAGTACTGCATATGCATTTTCAAACTACTGCCTCCCAGAGGACATGGCGTGCAGCCCCAGAGCTGAGCTCAGTATTGGTGGGGACACAGAGCCGGGGCTTGGGTGCAGGGCACCTGGTTTTGAATGGTTTTCACAGGCAAGTGAGGCACCTCTATCAACCTCGGTTTCTTCATGTATAAAATGGGGTTACAAGCAGTACCTACCTCCTGGGTTTGGCGCAATGGCACAGTGAGCCAGTGCCTGGGGAGCTCTGAGCACCTGCAGTTGGGTGTTCAGGCCATGGTGGCTATGAAATGTTTGAGTTGAATGGAATTATTATCCTGAAGGGCAGAAAACAACAGCCCTGGACTGGGAGGTCACACACGGGTGAGAGCCATTTCCAGACCTGTTGGCTAACCCTGGCCACACCCTTCCCTTTTCCCTGTCCATAGCTCAGCTTCTTTCTGCCAATGAAATTGGGTTAGAGTCGGCTGGGCGCGGTGGCTCACGCCTGTAATCCCAGCACTTTGGGAGGCCGAGATGGGCGGATCACGAGGTCAGGAGATCGAGACCATCCTGGCTAACACAGTGAAACCCCGTCTCTACTAAAAATACAAAAAATTATCCAGGCGTGGTGGCGGGTGCCTGTAGTCCCAGCTACTCAGGAGGCTGAGGCAGGAGAATGGCGTGAACCCGGGAGGCGGAGCTGGCAGTGAGCCAAGATTGTGCCACTGCACTCTAGCCTGGGCGACAGAGCGAGACTCTGTCTCCAAAAAAAAAAAAAAAAAAAAAAAATTGGGTTACAGTCTGGGAGAAACATGGCTGGGAGCAGAGGTGGTGTGCAAAGAACACAGGATTGGAAATTTGGAAACCTTGGCTTGAGTCCCGGCTCTACCCTAATTTGCTGGGTAACCTTGAGCAAGCTACTTCACCTCTTTGGCTTAATGTGGAAAAGTGTAAAATAGTCATTTCTAGTTCTGAGAGTCTATTCTGTCATGAAAGCTTGAAAGTTGCTGTGCATGTTTGTGTGGGCTTAAGTGTGTGCCTGTGTGTGCTTGAGTGCATGTGTATGCACTTGTGCGTGGCACATGTGTGCATACATGCTTGTGTGTGTTTGTGTGCACATGTATGCATATTTGTGTTTGTGGATGTGTGCGTGTATATGTGTGTGTGTGCACGCGCCTGCCTAGCCCTTGGTCCAGAGGAAGAAGTAAGAAATATCAGACCCAGGAGGCCACTGGGCTCAGGCCCCGAGGATTTTCTTGACCAGGTAGCCAGGCACAGAGTAGAGGAACAGGGCGAGGAGGAGGAGCAGCAGCAGGAGCAGCAACAGTTTGAGGAGCAGCCAGCGATACGTGTGCCACAAGAAGTAGCGAGCCGACTTGAGAGGGTTCAGGAACCAGATGAAGCTCGTGTCGGGCCGGCTGGAGTATGAAGGGTAGAGAGCGCAGAGGAGGGACAGGGAGGAGAAGGGATTGGGTGTGGCGAGGGGCCAAGACCAAGAGGGAAGCTGTCCTGGGCTGTGTGTGCAGTTCTAGGCACCCCTCTGGCCATCAAGGCTGGCCATGGCCCCAGAGGCCACCACTGGAGCTGGCTCTTCTGCAAAAGCTAGGAAGGGAAGAGCATAGTTTCTCTCCGCTAGATGGGGCCTTTCCCAGGGAAGGTCCTGCTCTCCAGTATTCCTAGCCCATCCTCTGGTTCAAAGGGACGTTGTGGGATTCAGGGTTGGCAGAGGGCAGGGAGGAGGCTCCCCTGTAATGAGGCTGTGGCCCAGGAAGAGATGGGGTGTCTGGGGATCGTCTCCTTCCTGTTCCAGCGCCTCCAAGAGCCAGAGTGGGGAGGGGCTGGGCCGGCAGGGCACTCACTTGGGTTTCTCTAGGGGGTCAGGTTCATTGCGGGCCAGGCCCACTGGGTTCTTCTCTGCCTCCTCTGCTGTCAGTAAATGCAGCTCAGCCTCCACCTTGCCCTGCAGAGGACAGACAGGTCCCAGCGTCCAGGCTGCGTGCTGGGCCCTTGGCACCCCAGCCAGTCCCAGCCCTGCCTACTGCCCGAGCAGGAAGGGGTGCGCACCGTGAGCTCAAACTCATCGTTCTCATTGCGGGCCAGGAGGGGCCACCAGCCTTTGACGCGCTTTTGCTTGAAGATGGACACGAGGGGCACGTCCACCTCCCCGGTGGCCATCTCCATGGTGCACTGCTTGGCTGTCTTTGCGCCCCGCGGGAACCGGTTCAGGTCCAGCTCGATGGCCCCTGTGGCAACCTCAGTGTCAGCTCAGAGTGAACAGGGCTGGGGTGGGGCGGGGTGGGGGTGGGGGTCTGGGCTCCTCGGCCCCTTGTTTGCTGAGTGCAGACCTCCCTGAGCCCACATCTCATCCTCCTGCCTCACTCCCAGCAACTGGCCTCAATGCAGGCATCCTCGTGGGCTTGCTAGGCAGCCCCAGCCCCCATGCTTTACTCAGGTCCTTCTTTCACCCCAGAGGGTCTCTCCTGGGGTCTCCCCTGCCACTCCCTGCCATGCATCCATTCTGTCAAAGTCCTGCTAATCCCACAAGCTTTTGCAGATGCAGATTAGAGTTTTAGGGAGAATCCCTGCTTTACAGAGAAGCAACCTGAGGCCCAGGGAGGTTTCCCGACTCCCTTAGGGAGCCTCTCCCCTCCCCCATCATCACTGACTGCCCCCTCCTTGGTGTGTCCAAAGCTTGTTGTCAGCCTGGTTATGACACTGAGAACATCTGCCTAGGGACGGTTAGGTGGGTCCTTGGGGGCGGAACCCCGTCGGACACCCCTGGCTCTGATGGACTGGAAGCAATGACCCCTTGTCCCCCCAAGGCAGGGCTCTCCCTGTCCCCGCCAACCCGGCCCCTGCCTCTTCTCAGTTCTGGATCCTGAACCCCCATCCCTGCCCTGCTCTGCACCCAGGAAGTCGTCAGCGGAGAAGTGGTCCGCATCCCAGATCTGCAGGGTGAGCCGCGCGGGGATCTTGTACTCGGTCTCGTCCCAGGAGAACATGGACTCCTTCTTGGAGATGACGATCTTCTCCTCCGCCGCCAGGTAGTCGAAGGGGAACAGGTAGCGCCAGTTGAAGTTGCCCTCGCCAGTGAGGGAGTGGTAGTGGACGTCTGTGTCCTGCTTGTCCTCCTGCTGGCCCTTCAGCCACCTGTGGGCGCCACATCTCCAGACCCGCAGCCAGGCTGGTGGGGCCTCTCCCACCCACAGCCACCTTCCCTCTGCCTCCTCTCCTGCCCCCCGGGAAGCAAGCCCCACCCAGCTCAGTCCCTCCCATGCAGGGACTGCTCACCCACCCCCTCACGAAGATGTCACTGGACTTCTCCCCTGTGAAGAAGTCGTCGTCCTCCAAGACCACCTCATCTGTGTTCCAGATGATGACCCGCAGCTCGTACCTGGGCCCAGGGAGAGAAGGCTGGTTAGCAGCCCCAGGTGGGGGTTATGCCAGGGTGCCAGGGCTGGGATGGGGCAGGCGGAGAGAAGCCCTGGGGTCTTGGGGTCAGCACAGGGCCTGGGCCAGGCTGGGGCTGGAGGAGTGGTTTGGGGTTGGGGGAGCAGAGGCATGAGTGAGAAGGCCCACCAGGCACATGGCTGTGGGCGGTGGGGGTGGGGTGAGGGGAGGAAGCCACCCTCTGTCTCAGATGCTAGTTCCAAGAGAAGTCTGCATTTAAGCCCAGTAGCCAGCAATGGAAGCCCATGGAAGCTGTATGTCCCTGTCCCCAAAGAGGATTTTCCCCTCAAGGTTTAATTGTAATTATGAATGATGTAGTTCATTTCAATCATTAAGAGTGAGGCTGAGTCATTCACTAAAAATTGATCTGAGCATGGCTCTCCTGGGATTGCAGACAGGGCTGCGAGCCCAGAGTGGCCCAGTGAGTTGGGTGCCCCCTAATGACAGGCCCTGGAACAGCTGACTCATGGCCTCAGGTTTCCAGGACATTCCTGGCAGAATTTGCTGCATGATTTGCTGGGGCCAGCGCCAAATGGAAATGCAGGGTCACTTGTCATAAAGAATTTCAAGATGGCAACATAGGAGCATGGAAACAAGAGTGGGACCCTGTGTGGCTTCCTCCATCCCTGAAGCTGGCCCTGAATCCAGTCACTGTCTGACAGCTGGACTTGAACCTGCCGCTTTATGGATGGGAAACCCGGGTTCTTTTCACTCTACCACCTCCTGCCTCTTCCAGGCACTCACTCCTGGATTCATCACTGGCAGGCACTCCAAAGAAAACTTGGCGGAACATCACACTAGCCTGGATGTGAGGATGACGCAGGGCCGGCTCCCAGGGGTTCTGTGTGTTGTGAAGGAGTGCGTCAGTGTGGGCATGTGTGTGGGTGTCCGTGGGAGTGCTATGCTGTGTGTGTGTGTGTGCATGAGATGCATGTGTATGGGCGCGTAGACCGTGTAGATACAATGCACCGGAGTGTGCTGTGTGGGGCTTGTCTCGCTCACTGATGCAGGGTGGAAGGCGTTGTCCTGCCTTAGCACGTGGGGACTCTCCAGGGCAGGCCCTAAACTCTATCGATTGGTTGGTCAGTTTCTCCCCTATAAGGCCCAGTGGCCACACCCAGGCCCCAGGGATGCCAACTGGCCAAGGCCATCTGGACCTGAGCCCCCCGCAGGAAGGGTTGGGCCGTGGTGGGAAGTGGGTGGGGTGGGCCGGAAGGGAGTAGCGCTGGGCCCCAGGCCGCTCACTTCTTGGGCTTCCGAGGTGAGATGTCCAGAGGCGTCCCAGGGGCTGGCATGTCCATGGGGAACATGTCCACCCACAGCTCCAGGCGGCCCTGAGGAAGAGGGTTGTGGCAGATCTCCCAGGGCCTTCTCCCTCTGCCCAGGAAGATCAGCTCTCCTCTCCCTCCTAACCTTTGTTCTGTCAAGGACCCAGTTCATCAGTTTCCATCTTTGGATGCCAGGAATTCCTATGATGTCACCAATAGCCAATCACAGCTTCTGAGGGAGACAACCCAGGTCTCTGCCTGAGCTGATGTAATTCTCACTCAAAGCAAAGACCCTTGCCATTCAAGTTACCCTGAGGGGCCTTGGTGGGAAGGTGCCTGCCAGGCTTTCTGGAATGCAGCGGACAGCGTGAGGCCTGGCTTCTACCTTTACTGACTCAGGTTGGGGATCCCTGGTCCCCAATACCCAAGAACCCCAGTCTTGGCCATGCAAGTGTCACCTGCTCGATGCCCGGCTTGTCGGGGTTGAGCAGCGGCCTCGTCTCCACATGCTCTGGCACCAGGCGGCAGCCTGCGCGGGGGATGTCCTCCCAGTGCCTCAGGGCCAACAGCGCCACATGCTCGTCTGTGGGCTTCCTCTGACCTGTGGGTGCCGGCGGCTCAGCTGCACACATGGCTCAGCAGAACCAGAAGACCTTTGCTGGGACTAGGGACTTAGGAGCACAAAGAAGCCTCTATGCCATCACCTGTCTACCCCACCTCCTTTTCACTGTTGGGGAAACTGAGGCACAGAAGGAGAAGTGGCTTGCCCAGGGTCTCAGCTGCCCCACAGGGCCAAGAGAGGTCTGTGCCCTTGGTCCTCTGCTTGGGGAAGTTGACTGGAGAGCCCTGCTGGGCTGAGAGAAGGGTCAGGGAGGGGAGAATCCACTTCCTGTCCCAGCACCTGAAAGTGATCAGATACCAGCACAGACACCTCCCAATTCTCTGCTTCTCTGGGAAGTGCCTCATGGACAGAGAAGTAAGGAGAGTTTAAGGATTAGAGCCAGATGGACCTGGGCCGATGCCCTCGCTCTGCCTCTAAAGAGCCACATGACCTTGGGCGAGTCACTAGAAGTAGGATCTTGGTTTGTTTATCTGCAGAATGGGATGCAGATAGCCTCTCTACCTCACTGGGATTTGGACAGAGAGAAAGCAGGTGGGGCTGCCCTGTAGGAGGGGTGGAAGCACAGAGGCTGGGCAGACAGGAACGGGGCTCTGGGGTGATGAGCAGAGGGTCACTAAGACCAGGTTTAGGCTGAGGACACCCCAGGCTAGGCTGTGAGGTTCCCCAGGGAAGTGTGGGCCCCTCCTGGCCTCTGAAACCCCCTGGAGAGGGGGCAGGCGGCTGCATCCAGTGCCCCATTACCGTTCTCGTCCTCAATCTCAGAGGGCCCAGTGAAGACGCGGTTGGCCACCTTCACTCTCCCAGGGGGCCCAAAGTGGGGGCCGTCCACTTTGCCGTCTTTGCAGAGGCGGGTCAGGATCTGGCTGGGCTTCATGGGGTCCCGCCAGATATTGTAGCCATGTCTGTGGGAGGGGACACACAGGCTTGGAGGGGCTGGGTGGGACTAAGCCATCCTGGATGACAGCTGGTCGTGGCCAGTTCTCTAAAGTTGGCTGTTGCCCTCATCAGCAAGTGAGCCTGATTCCTCCTGCCCTGGGCCCCAGGCTCACCTGAGACACTAGGGCTGCTGGAGGCTGAACCTTCCTGCCCTGGGCCTTGGACCACATATCAGTGTCCCCAGCCTAGCCCCACTGCATCCCCTCACTGTGCCCACTCCTCTGGAACCTCAGAGACTCCCATGAGGAAACTGAAAACCAGAGAGGTGAAGGGACTTGGCCAGGGTCACACAGCCTATAAGTGGCAGAGCTGGCCCAGATCCCCAGGGGACTCTTTCTGTCCTCCTCTTGCTAGCCCCCACCTTCCCTAGCCCACTTGTCTCTCCTCGTCCTGCCTCCTCTGTCCTGGAATCCACTGTCCCTCTCCTTGTTTTGGGATCTGCAGTCCTGTCCCCTGAAGACTGTGCCCAGGGACTGTAGGGGCAGAGGCCTGGCCTGGGACAGAAACCACAATGTCTAACCTCTCAAATCACCAGGATCTGAATCTCATTTTAGAGTGGAGGCAAAGCAGGCACACTGCCCCCGCCCTCTGCCCCATGCCCCACATACGTGGAGTAGGTCTGGGCGATGCCGCAGGTGGCGCGGTGCTTGCTGTAGAAGCGGTTCTCCAGGTCGATCTTGGTTTCCCCAATGAGGTCATCAGTGCCCACCAGGTCCCAGTCATACACAGCCACCGTCAGCATGGATTCCATGGGGAAGGAGGCCTCGATGTCAAAGGACCTGGTGGGGTGGAGTTAGGAGAAGGGCTTAAGGATTGGCTAGGGTGGGAGGTGTTCTGGGTTGGAGAAGTAGGGGTGTGGCAGGGGAGGGCACCAAGAAGCCTTACTTCCCAAAGACAGGGTTGAGCTGCTTGGAGATGTAGTTCTCCTTGTCGCGGATGTCAGTCTTGCCTAGCCGGATGGCGATGTAGGGGTCAGCTTTGCCGTTGATGTCAGCAGGGTGCAGGTCCGTGGCCTGGAATGGGGAGAAGGGCTGCCTGAGCAGGCTCCCATGCCCTGCTCATCTTCAGTGCCCCTGCCAGGCTGCCTGAGGGTCCTATGACAGTGAAGGGCAGGGGCAGGAGCACTGGACCCCTCAGGAGGCTTGCTGTGTGACCCTAGGCAAGTGGCTACCCCTCTCTGGGCGTTGACTTCTTCCTCTAGAAAAGATAAAGACTAGACCAAATGATCTCCCTGGTGCCTCCCAGTCTGGGGCTGTCAGTATGCAGCTTCTTCTTCTTTTTTTTTTCCTTTGAGACAGAGTCTCGCTCTGTCTCCCAGGCTGGAGTGCAATGACGTGATCTCAGCTCACTGCAAGCTCCACCTCCCAGGTTCAAGCGATTTTCCTGCCTCAGCCTCCTCAGTAGCTGGGATTACAGGTGCGTGGCACTGTGCCTGGCTAATTTTTGTATTTTTAGTAGAGACGGGGTTTAACCATGTTGGCCAGGCTGGTCTCGAACTCCTGACCTCAGGTGATCCTCCTGCCTTGGCCTCCCAAAGTGCTGGGATTACAGGCGTAAACCATTGCACCTGGCCAGTATGCAGCTTCTTTGCTCTCTCCCAGATGGGAGGATGAGGAGACTTGCAAGGAGGGAAAGCGACGGGAGTCTCACCCGGACCACATAGACTCGGACCAGCACATTGATGGGGTCATTGCTCGGGATGCCCTGGAACATGCCGTAGGTGGAGTCGTAGCCGGCTTCCCGGGACACGTCCTCTGGGAGTGGCACTTTGTACACGCAGAGGGAGCCCTGGGCAAGACAAATGTGGGTCAGGGTGTAGGTTTGCCTGGCAAGGGTGGCATTCAAAATAGCTAACAGCACCAGGAGGGCTGGACCCTGATGTGGCAGGGCCTTCACCCTTTAACTGCTGAGTCATGGGAGAGTCCAGGGCTTCTGGAGGCAGTGGCCGGGGCAGTGGTGGGAGGTGAGTGGGGGAACCTGTGGGGGGGGCAAGGGCTGGCGGGTGCTCAGGCTGGGCCCGTGCTCCTGGCCTGACCTTGAAGCGTCCCACAATGCGCTCCTCCTCGGTGGAGCCATCCTCATCATCCCCGGTCTTGCCCCGAAGCAAGTTGAAAGTGTGCAGCCAGTCCTCAAAGTTATCAAACTCGGACTCCAGCTCTTTGGGGTATACCTGAGACAGACCAGGCTGTTAGGGGGCGGCTGCCTGGTCTCTGGCTTTTGTCCTGCCCCACCTGCAGGATCACTGCGCCCCCCTCTTCCCGCCCCCACACACCCTAGAAGGGTCTGCTCCTAGGCTCTCACCTTAAGCTCATCAATCTTGGGTTTCTTCTTCTCGGGGGCCTCGGACCCCTGGCCAGAGCCAGAGCTCTGAGTTTTCTTCTTCTTCTCCTCTTTGGCAGCCCTTGCCTTCTCCTTGCCCTTCATTGACCCCTTCAGGCCTGGCCAGAAGCAGAAAAGGAGGTGGAGCAGAAATGAGCAGAGCAGGAAGGCCTGGATTCGAGACCCAGCTCTGTCGCTAATTTGCTTTACTAACTTAACTCTCGGATGTCCATGTGCTGTCAAATGCAGATAATACTCCCTAGCATGCCCGCCTCATGGAGGTGCTGGGGGCCCCAGTGGGTTTATGCCCGGGAAGGTGTCTGAAGACTGTCTTCATGCCCTTTGGAAGAGAGGGGCAGGAAGGAGCATGGGTTTGGGGGTGGAGGCCTGTTGCTGCGCAGTTCCTTGCCCACTCACTTTCCTCACTAGCTTCCCTCTTCTTGTCCATAATAATAACACTCTGTATTAGCATTTCCCAAACCTCATTCAGTGGAGCACCTGGTGCAGATGCTGCTGGCATGCTTTAGAAGAAAGGGTACTGTGATCCAATAAGCTGGGGAAATATTTTATACTGTGTCTTCCTTTTAGAGATGTATAATAACATTTGCACAGTAAAGGGTATGAAAAGTCCTGCACCAAAACAAGCTGTTTCAATCAGCTTTTCCTAAACTAATTTGACCAAAACTAATTTGTTCCTTCTAGAACATCCATCAATTTTCTTCATGGAAAAGAGTCTGGAAAATGCTGGATGGAATGAGCTCTGAGGTCCCTTCTAGCTCTGATGTTCTGTGGCTCTAAATGTCTGCCCATCACTGTGGGTGCTGAACTGGTCAGAGTAAAAGCCTCCCTGGACAAGGGCCTTAGCCTGCCCAGTACTGCCCATGGATTACTGATGCTGCTTCCCTGGCTACTAAGGCTGGGAGGGCTGGCAGGAGGGAAAAGAGAAGCAGGTGATGAGGTGGGCAGGAGAGCTGACCACCCAGGGGCGGGGAGGAGGAGGCAGAGTTCCAGGTTCCAGGGCTCACCCTCGGTATTGTCCACTTCCTCCTTCTCCTCCAAGTCAATTCCAGAGGGCTCTTGTTGTCGAAGTTGCTGCCAAAAGATGAGATGAAAAGGACAGAAGGTGGGTTTCCTGGGGAGGAGTCTGTTGACCCCAAATTGTGGGCCCAGACCAGTCTTAATGCACTAGAAGTAGAAAATCTTCCCTACTGCATTTCAAGTCCACCATGTGCTCTGCTTAAGTGGGTTAAAAAAAGTTTATAATGTGTACAGTGTGACTAGTGGTACTTAGGGGTTTATGCATCTGTGGCACATATACACCATGGAATACTATGCAGCCATAAAAAAGGATGAGTTCATGTCCTTTGCAGGGACATGGATGAAGCCAGAAACCATCATTCTGAAGAAACTGTCACAAGGACAGAAAACCAAACACTGCATGTTCTCACTCATGGGAGGGAACTGAACAATGAGAACACTTGGACACAGGGAGGGGAACATCACACACCGGGGCCTGTGGTGGTGCTGGGGGAGAGGGGAGGGATAGCATTAGGAGCAATACCCACTGTAAATGACGAGTTAATGGGTGTAGCACACCAACATGGCACATGCATACATATGTAACAAACCTGCACATTGTGCACATGTACCCTAGAACTTAAAGTATAATTTAAAAAAAAAAGAAATAACACCTTGCAATAAATATTTACATTTTCTACTTAAAAAAGTACAGTGCATTTTAATGTTGCTTTTAGTGATATTAATAAATTGTTTTAATGTACAAAAGTATAACAGTAAGAAAATGTACTATATTTTCTTTCACTCAGCACACCCCATCTTACTGGAAACGAGAATAAATCTTACTAGAAACTAGAAACCAGGTTTCAACTAAGTCGCCACCGCCACCTGGTGGCAGTCTGTGAAAATTGCAGGAGTAGAGACGACAACAGGCAGCCTCTTGCAGCTCCAGCCTGGCCAACTTGATGGTGGGAGACGAGACTACCAGTTGTCCTCAATGATCTGTTCTCCTATTTTTACAAGTTTTGCTGAGCACACAGCCACCTTGTGAAAGATTACATTTCCCAGCCTCCTTTGCAGATAAGTGTAGCTAAGGGACTAGATTCTGATCAATGTGAGTGGAAGTCATATGTGCAGCTTCTGGATTGGGCCCTGAAAAAGAAAAGCATATGCCTCATCTCCTCTTTAACCCTTCCTGTGCACTTGAATTAGAACATGATGTTGAGTCACCTCCAACCTTACAGATGTGACAAACAAGAGGTCAGGATCTTAGTCCTTGACACCACTGAGCCACCATACCAGCCTAACCCCCACTCTCTGAGATGTTATGTGAGAAATAAACTGCTGTCTTGTTCACTTCACTCTAACTTGCTACAGCAGCTTAATGTGTGCTCTAATAAATATCACACCTAGCTTGGGTCACAGAAAGGGCCTGGGAGAGGATGTGGCTGGATCAGCTCTGGCCCCACTGAGGAAACACAACTGCAGGCATGTGTCCCTCCTGGTCAGGTGGCCAGTCAGAGCACCCTGAGCTAGGTAGGCAGCGTGGAGAGGACACAAACAAGAAAGCAGAGAAATGCGCTTTCTGGAACTTGCAATCTGGCCAAACAGATGGAACCCACATATGTGTAATAGGGGAAGAATCATTCACGTGCCGATGACCAAGATGTGTAAAATAAAACATTATGAAGAAGAGTCGTAAGGACTACTGATAAGCAGTTGTTCCCTTATGGCCTCTGAGAACATGTTTCTCCTTTTCCACAAAGGTCACCTCCTCTGAGACGCCTTCCCTGATTCCCCCAAGCCATGATTTGCCTTTGTTATCACATAGTCCTCTCTAAGTCTCTGTTTACATGTCCATTTTGCCCAGTAAACCGGAGGCCCATCAGGGCAGGTGTGGCATCTTTTGGCTCCCATAGCACCTAGTATGGAGCCTGGCTCATCGCATATACCCAAGAGGCATTTGTGGAATGAGTCAATGAGGACAAAAGAAAACCAAGCAGGGAAGGTAGATGGGACCATCATCTTGGAAGGTGAGTTCTGAGCTAGGATTTCAAGGATGTGAGACAAAACCATCCCAAACTCACATGAATGGAGTTGGGATCCAGCTCTTGGGGGCCGTGGGAAAGAAGCTGGACAGGAGGGTCTGAGTGTGGAGGGGGTCACCTCCCCTCACCCTACCCGAGGTCTCACCTCCTTCATGGTGTCAATGGAGGCAAAGTACTTGGACCACCAGTCCAGCATGCTCTCGTCTGGCTCCTCCTCCTCTGGCTCCTCCGCAGTGCCCTTCTTCTTCTTCTTCTTCTCCTTCTCCTCCTCAGCCTGCAGGTTGGCCAGGTCCAGAGTCCTACATGGACTCCTCCTGCCTGGACAATCCCGAGAGCCTCCACCCATTCCGCCATCTGTCAGCAGGAAGCCTTGGGCTCCATGAGGCTCTGTGGGGCCACCCATGTCCAAGGGGCAGGGCCTTATTTTATGGAGAAGGTGCCACAGGCCACAGAGTGTTGTGACCTGCCAGTGCGATCCACTCGCCCAAGCAGGACTGGCACCGAGTCCTGCACTCACCCAGCTCTTTTCCACTGCATCTTAGGGGAGGTGTGCTGGCCCAAGCATGCGGGGGCTGGGGCTGGCTCTGTCCCTGATGCTGGACCCTTTGGCCTGACATCATTGCCAATAAAGGACCCTCTCACCCCAGAGCCCCTGCATGGCCCCCACACTCACCACATCCACCTTGACAACAGCTTCAGAAGTCTGCAGAGGAACCAAGGAGACAGGGGCAGAATCAGCCACTGGGGCCTGGAGTGGCAGGCAGTGGCCTAGCACAGGGTGTGTGGAGGAGCCGAGATGGAAATTACTGTGTGCTGGCAGCCCCTGTGCCCGCAAGGCCAACTTTGCATTAATAAGAGCACTCTGACTGGTGAGTCTGCAAAGGGTCTGAGTGAGGATGTTTCTTTGGGTGGCCAAAGGAACAGTGGGCTGTGTTCCAGGCTGGCCCACGTTCTGCCCTTCCCTGTAGGGTCTACAGCTTGTACGCCACTTCCACACCCAACCCCCAGATGGCAGTTCTCTCTCTGGCAGATGAACAGTCCTAGGCCCAAAGCCAGGAGGAATAAGGAGCTTCCACCTGGAAATCCTCCTCTGACCCAGGCCAGGGAAGTGTCATTTGTGAATGGCTGGGATGGAAAACCAGGGACTCTTTGGAAAGGACACTGATGATCTCATAAGGAATCATTACCTATGGTGTCATTTGTTGGAGTAAAAATTATAGCAGGTGATTATAATAAACTGTGATGGCTCACTCTGTCTCTCATACACACATACCACATGCCAGTGCACATGCACACACCCACATGTATGCACGCATGTGCACATACGCACACCGCAAGCATGCATGCACACATATATGCACATACACCACATGCACACATGCACACATGCACATTTACATACCACATGCACACATGCACATATGCACACAAGCGCACATGCACACATATATGCATATATACCACACTCATGCACATTTACCTACCACCCGCATGCATGCACACTGCACACATGCACATATGCATTTACACACCACATGCACACACATATGCACACACCACATGCACATATGCACACCATACGCATGCACACATACATGCACATGCTCATACCACATGCATGCATGCACGTGCATATGAACATACACCACACATGCATGCACATGTGCACACCACACGCACGCACGTGCATATGCACATACCCCACATACATGCACACACACATGCACATACACCACATGCATACATGCACGATGCACATATGCACACCACACATACGCATGCACGCACAAATGCACATACATCACATGCATGCACACACACATGCACATATGCACACCACACACATGCGCACACACATGCACATTTACATACCACACGCACGCGTGTGCATTCCAGGATAGTATTAGGAGGGAGCTGTTTGGACACACAATCAAGCTCAGCCCCCGACAGTCACATGCCAAAGGAGGCTCTTAGTGTCCTTTTCTCTCGGGGCAGATAGTCTGGTTCACAGGATGTGTCACACGAAGTTGCATGTTCCCAGCCAGCAGGGGGCTGACCCCACCCGCCTTACCGCGTCCAGCTTCACCATGGTCTCCAGTTTCTTGATGGGTACCTCTGGCTCCATAGTCACCACAACCTCCCCTGTGGAGTGAGAGGAGGAGCCCCCATTGCACAGCACACGGCAGCGCCGGAGAAGCCTGACTGGACAGATGGATAGATGGACAGACAGGCAGAGGAAGGAGCAAGAGGAACAGTGAGATTGGCGGGGCAGGAAGGTGCGGAGAACTAAAGCTGATTCTGGAACTTTCTGAGGGAGAGGGGGACAGGCAGTCAAGGGAGAAAATATGGGCATGGGGAGGGAAGAAGAGAGCCCGAGATAAGGGGAAGCTGCGGAGGCCGGTGGGAGGGAGGTGGCGGGGAGGCCTGGGTCTTCTCCATCAACCAGCGCAAGGGGCTTTCTGCCCTCAGGCCCCCCCAGGCTGTCTCCAGTTCTGCCCTCTCTGGCTGTAGAGCTGGCGTCACCTTGGGCAGCCTTCCTTGGCCACCAGGGTGACCTTCTTCTATGCCCACCCCCTCGGCCCCAAAGAGCAAACTCTGGTCGCGGCTTGGACTGGGCGGAGACCTGGAGCCCTTCCCTGGGGGGCGTGGAGCCAGGCTTGGTGGCAGGGTGGATGTGGCCATACCCGTGGTGTTCCAGCTGGGGGCCGAGCGGTCTGGGGGCCGGTAGATGAAGCGTCGCAGGGAGCTGACGGCATGGGAGCCCACCAGTGTGTAGCGACCGAAGGCCCGGCAGTCCACCACACGGATGTTCAAGGGCGGGTGCAGCAGCTCGTTCTCTGGGAGGTCCTGGGGTGTTGGCGACAGGAGCCTGAGCCTCCAAGAAGGGGCAGAGGAAGCCGGCTGGCTGAGTGGAGCCACACTGGCCACAGGATGTCCTCCGCCAGGGCCTGCACTCACCACTTCAAACCACTTGACGAGGGTGTTGAAGTTGGGGTTCTTCTTATAATTGTGGATCAGGGACGACTGCACCCCCTTCCCTGCACACTCGATGTCCACCCGTGGCCGGTCCACCTGGGCCAGGTTCACCCGCTTTAGGTCCCGTAGGCCCCAGAACAGCACCTGGGAGAGGTTGGAGGGTGGGTGCAGAGAAGAGAGCCCCTTAGTCAAGGGAGCCAGCCATGGGGGTGCTGGACCATCCAATAGGGAACCGGGCAGTGGGATGGGCAGTAGTTCACCCCAGATTTCAAAGGGTGGGAGCAGGGCCAGGAGAGCAGAGGAGGGGCAGGCGTTCTCCAGGGATGAGGGTGGGGCTGCCCGGAGAAGGGGTGCAGGGTCAGGGGTGCAGACAGGAGGGCTGGGCATGGTCCTGGGACATGGGAGTGCGACTTGGTGCAGATGGGGGCAGGCCCTGGGCTGGGGCAGGAGCCTGGGTCTGCTGCTGGCTCCTGGTGATGGTGGTGGGAGGGGGATGACAAGCCACTTCCCCTCCTGGGTCCTCAGACTCCTCATCCAAAAGGGAAGGGCCACACAGAGCCCTCGCACCTCCACTCGGTACTTGCTGAGCACGGGCCGGATGCCCATGGGCACGGGCATGATGGGACCTCGGTCCACGTCCACCGGGCCATTGATGGGGGGCAGGTCAGCCTTCCCTGCTGGTCCAATCTGGGGAATGGGGGTCACAGGTCACACACTGGGGAGCCCAGGGACAGGGTCTCTTTCCCCATGAGTTGTTTGCCATGATCTGGGGAGACAGGGAAACCCCCTAAGGACCACGCCCCCAGCTTTGGTCAGGATGGGTAGGAGAGAGGCCCCTAGGCCCCAGCCCCCAGGCCCCAGCTCCAGGCCCCAACCCCCAGGACCTAACGCCCAGGCCCTAACCCCCCAGGCCCCAGGCCCCAGCCCTCAGCCCCAGCCCCCAGCCCCAGGCCCCAGCCTCCAGCCCCCAGGCCCCACCCCCAGGCCCCAGACCCCAGGCCCCAGCCTTCAGGGTCCAGCCCCCAGCCCTAGGCCCCAACTCCCAGCCTCCAGTCCCCAGGCCTCAGCCCCTCTTCCCTGCAGTCCCACCTGCAGCAGCTCGAAGGCCGCCAGCAGGTCTCCAGCTGTGGCGTTGCCACGGTAGATCTGGTAGTACTCGAGCTGAGGTGGGAAGCGGGGTGGGCAGTACGCCTCGTCTGCCATCTTCACCAGGGGTTTGGCGAAGGTCCGGCCCATGAAGTCAGCTTTGCCCTGACGCAACAGACAACCCAGAAGCCTCTTGGTGCTTGCTGTCCACACCTGTGATCTCGTTTGGTC
The DNA here is from genome assembly GCF_000001405.40 of Homo sapiens. Lineage (NCBI taxonomy): Eukaryota > Metazoa > Chordata > Mammalia > Primates > Hominidae > Homo > Homo sapiens. Next base: position 26,474,741 of record NC_000002.12, read on the forward strand.
CTTACCACAGCGCCATGAGTTGTTGTAAGGGACAGGTGTGATCACCCCATTTTACAGATGAGGAAACCAAGTCTCAGGGCCCACCAAAGACTTGTTCAAGGCCAAGCAGTCAGTAAATGGCAGATGCCCGGCTCAGGACTAGACATGAGGTCCTCCTACCTCTAGTCCAGGGCTATCTGGGCACCTCAGCAGCTGAGGTGGTATGTGAGAAGGTGGCTCGCTAACTCTCGGGGGTCACCCCAATCCCTTACTCCCTGCTCCAGAACCTCCACGGAGGATGGCAAGGCTGTTACTGGTTGTGGTAGGTGAGGGCAGGGGTCGGGGAGCCCTGGGGTGGGGAGGCTAGTGACAGCAGGACTTGCTGGCACACCTCCAGGGCTCAGTCTGTAGGAGACAGGAGGTGAGGATGTGCTGGCCTGGGAAGGGGTCAGGCTGCCGCAAGCAGGCAGGAGGAGCTAGATGTCAGCCCCCACTCCCAGCTTCCCAGCCAGCACCTGGCCAAGGAGCTCTGCAGGTGGGTGGCGGAGGTGAGGGCACAGCCTCAGCGCAGGTGGAGTGCAGGGAACAAGGGCCAGGTGTGGTGCTGCTGGGGTCCCTGGCACCAGAGCCCACCCATACCATGGAATCCTGGTCATAGATTTCAATGACAATGATGGGCGGATCGTCCCTCAGCTCATGAGCTTCACCATAGAGCTCCAGGTTGTCGAACACCAGCATCTGGTCCCAGGTGGGACACAGGGTCTCATTCAGCACCTGCAGCATGGGATGGGGAGACAGGGGACAAGTGACAGAGGGGGGGGCAGATGCACAAACAGAAGCCACCCCTACTCACTCAGCTTCCACGGAACCTGGGGGCAGGAGTGACAGGTGTCTTGATTCTTCCAGAAATCTTAAAATCAAGGCTAATATGAGGTTTGGCCCAAGCCCCCTGCCAATGTCCTCCTTGTCGTCCCTGTCTTGTGAATATAACCACAGCTAAAGCCCGTAGCCTTTCCAGTGTGACCCGCGTCTGCTGCAGTTATCTGCAGGGCTTCCCCTGAGAAACCGGGGCACTGGCTGACCTGTGGCTCCAGGCCCCACAGGCTCACAGGCCCCACAGGCTCCAGTCCCCACAGGCTCACAGGCTTCTGGTGCTCTCAAAGCCAGAGCCACTCCCTCCTCCCAGGCCCTCACCTCTGTGCACTGACTCTGATTGATGAAGAAGACGCGGGCAAAGGGGTCTGAGAGTCCGCTGCTGTCGGCGGCAAAGAGGCTGCGGGCCTGGTACATGTGCGCTCGGAGCTGGAACGCCTGCTTCTCTGTGGGGAAGGGCAGCCTGAGGTTCCAGGATGGGCAGCCCCTCCGGCCCCCTCCCAGGTGAGGCTTCGAGTGAGGGGTCCTCACTCACTGGTGTAGACCAGGCTGACGGGTGGGAAGGCATGCAGGCCCAGGCCCTGGGCTGCCTTGACCTCCTGGAAGCCACAGGGCAGGCCGCACAGGAACTCCTTGCGCTGTTTGCTGAGGCCCAGCCACAGGTACAGCTCCACCTTGGCCTGCACTGTCCAGCCTGCCGAGCCGAAGCCCCGCTTCCCTGGCAGCTGGGGGTGGGCATGGGGTCACCAGGAGCCTGACGGCTGCCAGGGCCCAAGAGGTGGGGAAGGGGCAGGGGCCGGCAGAGGCCCTGGTCAGAGCTGCCCTGCCCCTTCACAGCCATCCCGCTGGGCTGGGGTCCGGTGGAGGCAGGAGGATGGGCAGGGGGCCGTCATGCCCCCTTCCCCACCCCTTCCCCCACCTCCTTCCCCACCCCTTCCCCCACCTCCTTCCCCACCCCTTCCCCCACCTCCTTCCCCACCCCTTCCCCCACCCCTTCCCTCACCCCTTCCCCCACCTCCTTCCCCACCCCTTCCCCCACCCCTTCCCCCACCTCCTTCCCCACCCCTTCCCCCACCCCTTCCCCCACCCCTTCCCCCACCTCCTTCCCCACCCCTTCCCCCACCCCTTCCCCCACCTCCTTCCCCACCCCTTCCCCCACGTCCTTCCCATTCTTGGCTCTTCTCTGAGCACCTGCTGCTTGAAGGCCCCACCCTGTCACTCAGGCTTCCAGCCCCAGGTGGGGGCTGCTGCTCCCCTGAAAGGACCCAGGCCCCCATCCATCCTGCCCCCTCCAGCACCTTAAGGAAGAGCGTCTTGACCTTGGCGCAGTCCTTGCCAGTCTCCTCCTCCACGATGGAGAAGAGCAGGTCCTTGGAGGGCACACGGGCATAGGCGACACGCTTGTTGTTGCTCATCATCCAGATGAAGATGTCGGGAATGCTGTGCTGGGGCTGGGGGTTGGGGGGTGGCCAGGGGCAGTGGGTAAGGGGGTCTAGCCTCCTGATTGAGCCCCCTGATCCTGAGGGGCCCCAGAGAGCCAGCCCTGGATGAGGCAAAGCCCCGACCCCTTGGGCCGCACCTCGTCCGCCAGGAAGCGCAGCTTCTGCAGGAAGTTCTGGCACAGCCTCAGCTTGTCCCGCACCGTGTGCCGCTTCACCTGGGCCCGCAGCATCCTGGCCTGCTGCCCCATGTTTTCCTGCGAAGGAGGGGGTGTCAGTGAACCCAGCAACTGGGGGACAGCTCGGGCCATGACAAAGGGGGTTGTGACACCTTCTCACAACCAGGCCCTCCCTCCAGCCCCCGCCGTCCAGTTGCGTCCTCACCAGCTCCCTCATGCAGGACTTGAGGCGCTCCCGGTCAAGCCTGGTGCGGGATGAGTGGCCCTGGTCCTTGTCAGCGAGGGAGAGGAAGCGGCTGGGGGTAGGGCGAGCCGGGGTTTAGCGAGCCTGACCAGCAGGGGCTCTGTAGATTCTTCCTCATCTGCCCAGCCCTGGCAGGGTCCCCTTTGTCCAGTTCCGCCTCATCCTCCCCCCACCTGCCGCCCCTCCCTTCTCACCAGCAGCCACAGCTCAGCTCCTCCAGGACGCCCCGCAGGCGACGCTCAGGGTAGGACTTCTCCGTTTTGATCATCTCCTGTATGTCGTTCAGGCCTTCTTCCTGTGAATCAGGAGTGTGGGTGATGCTGGGCCACAGCCCCGCCTCCCCAGCCTCCCCAAATGCCTCCTCCCTGTTGATCAGGGGAGTGAGGGACCTCATGATCTGGGAGCTCTCGCTAGGGCCATCCTGAGTATCGGTCATCATGAGGAAGTCATCAATTTCCCAGGTTCTGTTCTCAGAACCTGGAGATGTTGGTGTTCATGGGGGTTCTTCAGTTCCTGAAGGAAGAAGCCACCTCTGGGCTGTGAGTCTGTGGCTCTGGTGAGCTCACAGGGCCTGGGCAGAACTCACGGCTACGGGGCTCAGGGCTGGCCAGAGACAGAGGGAAACCCTAGGACTGGATGTGCCAAGATCCTGACGTCACTCCAGAATGCTGGAGCCTGTGGCAGGGGATGGGAACAGATGCCTGGGGGAAGAGGGAGTGGCTCTGGCTCTGAGAGCACTGGGAGGGCTGTGAGACCCAGGTCCCACAGGAAACACAGGTCAGCTTGTACCCCAGCTCCTTAGGGGGAAGCCTTGCAGATAACTGCAGACCCAGGTCACACTGCAAAGGCTATGGGCTTTAATTGTGGTTATAGTCACAAGACAGGGATGACAAGGAGGACATTGGCAGGGGGCTGGGAGCAGACCTCATATTAGCCTTGATTTTTTTGGAGGTTTTAATTCATTTTTATAAAATATGAGCTGGCTGAGCTTCAGGGAACTTCAACAGGGAACAGCAACAGCTCAGGGAAGGGCGGGATTATCTGCTGGTCCCTGCTTCCCCAGGCTGGGGAGAAGGAGGTCTCATGCCAACAGCTGCACTCCTCGCCCAGTCAGTGCCCATGGCTCATGGGGGGAGAGGGGTGGGCAGAGGAGGAGGGGGCAGCTCCTGAGCTTCAGACACTGCTCGCTTCTCCCTTTTCCCCATTTCCCTTCCCTAGCCTTGCTTTTTTATTTTGTTTTATTTTATTTTATTTTATTTTTTGAGATGAAGTTTTGCTCGGTTGCCCAGGCTGGAGTGCAGTGGCGCCATCTTGGCTCACTGCAAACTCCGCCTCACGGGTTCAAGCGATTCTCCTGCTTCAGCCTCCCGAATAGCTGGGATTACAGGTGCCCGCCACCAAGCCCCGCTAATTTTTGCATTTTTAGTAGAGACGGCATTTCACTATGTTGGCCAGGATGGTCTCGAACTCCTGACCTCAGGTGATCCACCTGCCTTGGCCTCCCAAAGTGTTGGGATTACAGGCGTGAGCCACCACACCTGTCTCCCTAGCCTTGCTTTTAAGATTTCTGGAAAAATCAGGGAACCCAACACTCCTGCCCCAGGATTCACTGGAGGCTGAGTGACTAGAGGTGGCTCCTGTCCTTGTCTGTGCCCTGGGACCTGGGGCTGAGAATGGGAACAGAGGTCCTGCTGGGGCCGTTCCTGCAGCCCCCTGGGCAGACCAGCTTTGTGTGTTCCAGGGAAGGCCCTCTGACAGCGCCGTCTCCCCCAGGACCCCACCCCTGCTGGCCCCTGGCCTGGCCCTGACCAGCTTGTCGGCAATGTGGTCCATGATGTTGGCATTGTAGAGGCGGCGGCGCTGGTCCGGCCACCAGCTCTTGATGTAGATGCAGGGCTTTCGCTCCAGGTAGGGCAGATGGAAGTAGTTCCTGGGGTGGGCAGAGGCGGGAGGTGAGGTCTTGGGGGCCCAGGGAGGTGGGAGGGCCAGGCCACAGGAGGATGGGAGGCTGGGCCCACCTGTCGGTGACCTGGGGCCGCATTGGTGGAGTGGAGGAGACTGAGGCCAGGTCCCCGGCATCACCGGCCTCGTCATCACTTGCGTTCTGAATCAGGTCTACTTCTTCCTCATCCCCCGGCTCCTTCCGGGGCCGAGGCCGCTGGGGCCGGGACAGGCCATCAACTTCGTTCCCATAGTTGCCTGGAGCAGAATGGGCCCAGAAGGCCTAGAGTGCATTCCCCACCAGGCCCCTCCCACCGTCCAATCCGGTGCTGCCTTGGGTTTGGGAAAGGGGAGAGGGAGAGTCAGGGAATGGGGCTCAGACGTGACACATCATTAGCCAGAGAGCATTAGCCCGTGTCCCCACTCCGCTGAGAGTCAGGGAGTCCTCATGACGCCTGAGTGCGAGGCCCAGCCCTGGCCCAGGCTGTGGCCTGAGTTCCCACTCTCTCCTCTCCAGCCCCGGGAAGGGCTTCTCCCTGCCCTCTGCCCCAGGTCCCAAACACAGCCTCACCCTGTAGGTGGAGCTGAGGGTTGGCCCCTTTATGGGGCGTGGTCCACCCCATGCACACACAAAGGTGTTTTGTGGGTGCTTGAGGCCTCTCAGGGGAAAGGGGTCAACGTTCCCTACAAGAGTGAGGACAGGGCTGAGGTGCAGAGCCTCACACTTACCACCTGCAGCCTAGGCCTGAAGCCCCCGTGGGCCCAGCACTCACCTAGGCCCGAAGCCCCCGTGGGCCCAGCACTCACCTATGGTGACCTCAAAGGTGATGGGCTTGTCTCCGTTTCTCCGGTCGATCATTGAGGCCTCCAGGAAGGCTCCAAAGAGAAAGAATTCTTCCATTTTACCTGCACAGCTCTGTGGGGAGGCAGTTCAAAGCGTTCCTGAGCTTGAGTAAGGGTGGCAGGTCGGGGGCCAGGCCTCCTTCCGTCTCACAGACAGGCCGTGGGGGTGGATGGTGGGGGCATCCCACCCGGCTTTGGGGCCAGGCAGCCCACACCCCAACGGCCCCCCAGCCTGGATATCCATGGAAGCAGGGCTGGCTGCAGACACCACAGGGACAGCCGTGGCTGGGAAGAGGGGCAGAGGGGAGGCACCATCGTGAGACCTGGCGGCCGTTGTGAGACAGAGCACAGGCAGGCAGTGGACGAGGGCAGAGTCCTGTTGCGGGGCTGAGTGGGGGCCTCTGCTTCCTGGGGAGAAGCCTTATCCTGAGGTATGACTCCTCAGGTAGACAGGGCAGCAACAGGCAAAGCCTGGGACCCAGGTGACTCAGGGAGAAGGGGGCTGAGCTGGAGGCCCTGGGGGACAGCACAGTGCCTGGGGTCTCACCTCCGAGATGGGCGTGGCCTGCTCCACCTGCACCTCTGTGGAGCTGGTGAGCTCAGGGTTGGAGGTGTCTACGATCTCCACAGCCAGGCCCAGCAGGAGCCGGGCCCGGAAGGACACACCCTCCCCCAGGCCCTCGTTCAGGTCCTGATGCTCATCCAGCAGCGTGTAGTTACGTGTGGAGCCGTACATGTTCACCCAGGCTGGGCCCAGTGTGGGCAGGAAGCCTGTGGCAGTGGGAACAAAAATGAGGGGGCAGCGTCACATCCAGTTTCCCTGGGGAAGAGGGGCCTCTTTTGGGGGTCCCTGGCCTCCAGCTCCTGGGTGCTGAGCTGAGAACTTCATGTGTGCCATTCAGGTGTGGGGCAGCCTTCTTACACTGCGCTGGGGTGGAGCACTCTCTTGGGTCTATTTCTTCCCTGCGGGGGCCTGAGCTGGAAGCAGTGGGAAGGCAAAGTCTAGCTCCCTGCTTCCTGGAACTTAGAGCAGGAATTGTCAACAGTCTACTTGTAGGACAGAGCCAGTCCTTCCAAGTCCGCAGCATGACCTTGGGCCCTGTGCCATTTTTGCAGCTCTGTCCCACCACGGTGACCCTGCCAGTGCAGACCCCTCCCCTCCTTGCTGAAGGCCATCCCTCTCCATCTCTGCCTGTGAAATGCTGCTTCCTCACGAAGCCTTCCCAATTCCTAGGCACAAGTCCCTTCTCTTATGGCTAAGATTTGTCAGGCCTCTGACAGGGGTCTCATGATCCAGTTTTTTTGGTTCATTTCCTTTTTATTCTGCCTTTTTTTAAAAAACACACTTATAGCATTTTAAAAATTTAGATATACTTCACATGACATAAAATTCACCCTTTTAAAGTGTACATTTCAGTGGTTTTTCGTATATTCACTGTGCTATAAACCATCATCTACTTCCAGAGCAGTTCCACCCCCTCAAAAGAAACTCTGCACCTATTTAGCAGTTAGTCCCAATCCCCTCCCTTTAGCACCTGGAAACCGGCAATCTACTTTCTGTCTCTGTGGATTTGCCGGATGTTTCACATACATGGATCAGACAACATGTGGCCTTTTGTGTCTTCTGCCTTATGTTTTGACCATTTGGTAGCACATCTATCTCCTCAATACACAGTGAGCACTTTGATCCAGGAATAGATTCTTATCTCACTCTATGTCCTTGGAACCCAGCACAGGGCAGGGATCCTAGGAGGTAGTCAATCCCTGCGATTCTGCAGATAGGCACTACTATTAGGTATCATATATATATACACACACACTGTAATTATATACAAATGCAGTATATACACTGCTATAATGTGCATATCATACTATAATTATCATATCATATAATCATTATTATTTTCACTTTACAAATGGGAAAACAGGTCACACAACTACTAGCTGACAAATCCAGTCAGCTGGGCTCAGGCCAGCTCTGAGCCGACCTGAGCCACAAATCCTCACCCTCCCCCTGAGGCAGGGGCTGCTGGCAAGGCCCTGGAAGCACCTGTGAGGCTGAGGACCAGAGCTGATGACGGTGGTGTGAAGAGAGGGCATCTCACATATTCCTTCCCTTCAGGCCACTCCCTCTGCCCCCCAGCACACCGGGTCTCCCGCTGCTGACCTTTGTCTCCGTCATTAGAAATCTTGCGCAGGTCAATGAAGTGGGTGCCGATGGCCACGTCGTTGACCTTGTCCGAGTCTCGGATCTGCACCTTCATGCGTTTGCAGAGTGGGGGGAAGAGGTCTGTAAAGACGACCTGCTCATTCCACAGGGGCTCATAGCTGCTCTTCTGCACTGAAGTCTTGCCCTGGTGGAAGGGGGAGCACAGGTGAGGGCGTGGCATGTGTGTGTGAGTGGGTGCATGTGTGTGTGTGTGAGTGGGCGCATGTGTGCGTGAGTGGGCACATGTGTGCATGTGTGAGTGGGTGTGCATGCGTGTGTGAGTGGATGCATGTGTGCGTGTGTGAGTGGGTGCATGTGTGAGTGGGTGCGCGTGCGTGTGTGAGTGGATGCATGTGTGTGTATGAGTGGGTGCATGTGTGCGTGAGTGGGTGCATGTGTGCGTGAGTGGATGCATGTGTGCGTGTGTGAGTGGTTGCATGTGTGCGTGTGTTAATGGGTGCATGTGTGCGTGTGAGTGGGTGCATGTATGTATTCGTGGGTGCATGTGTGCACGTGTGAGTGGGTATGCGTGCGTGTGTGAGTGGGTGCATGTGTGCATGTGTGAATGGGTGTGTGTGCGTGTGTGAGTGGGTGCATGTGTGCATGTGTGAGTGGGTGTGTGTGCGTGTGTGAATGGGTGCATGTGTGTGTGTATTCGTGGGTGCACGTGTGCACGGGTGAGTGGGTGCGTGTCTGCATGTGTGAGTTGGTATGCGTGCGTGTGTGAGTTGGTATGCGTGCGTGTATGAGTGGGTGCATGTGTGTGTGCGTGCCTGTGTGTGGACTTGTCTCCACTCTTCCCACACCCCCAGCCTCTCCTCCCTCTCATGCCCCCTGCGCAGCTCTCAGTCTAAGGACTCCAGGAGGCAGTGAGGATCCTCTAAGTCCGTCCCTGGCCAACATGATTTCCAGCCTTGTCTTACCTGCCCAGCTGCCCCAGGCCCCACACCCATCAGCCTGCCCTTGTGATACCTGTCACCCAGCCCCAGCCTCCTGTACCTCATACCCCAGTACCTTCTGGCCAGCAAAGAAGACTTGCACGTAGGGGTCCACGAGGTCCTTGTTTTCACCGATGAAAGCCTTCTTTACATTGGCCATGAGGCTTGTGTTCATACGGGGCAGCCCCTCTGCTCGGTAAATTTTCACATAGAACCGGGCCCACTGGCGTTCGGGGGGCACCCCCTCGGGGAGCAGCAAGTTCCTGCCAGCACATACAGCCAGGGCCATGGTCACCAGGTCCAGGTCCCCAACCCCCATCCTGGCATCTACACACTCCTGGGTCCTGGCACAGTCTCTAAGGGACAGCTGAGGGAGCAAGGCTAGGATTAGACACTTGTGTTCACGGAACTTGCCCCTTGTGGGATTCTGGGCAAATCTTCCCATCTCACTGAGCTGCCGTTTCCTCACTGTTGAGGTGGCTGTAATAATACCCACCTCCCAAGAACATGATCGGCTCAAGCACGCTAAAACATATGAGTGCTTTGTAGATTGTACATTGGGATATGATCTTAGTATTATTGTCAGTGTTTTATAGTTTTGTGCCGTATCTTTTGTTTCGTAGACAAAAACTTCACAGTAGCCACTCTCTCTCCCCCAGCTCACAAAAGACAGGATTCATTGATTCCCAGCACTTTTACCCACTGACTCCAGACAAGGTCACAGAATATTTCTCAACAGCTGCTATCAGCTGCCTGGAATTGGCACACCAGAAGAAACCTTGGCTCTCCCAGCACTTCCTGCTGCTATACTCAGGACCCAGCAGCTGCTGGTTCTGGTCTGCCAGCATCGACTCTTCTCAACCCATTTCTCACTGGCAGAAAGGATGTCAAAGGACTGATATTCTCAGCCATCCTCCATCACCCCCTGCCCCTGCCCTGCCTCGGAAGAGTGGGGCTGCTTGGGAGAGTGAGCGAGAGCAGGGTGAGGGAGACGGGTGGCAGGTGCTCTCAGCAAACCCTCACCGGGGGCTCCCTGGGGGAAGGAAGGGCTGGCTCAGACTCCAGGGGCTGGGGTAGCTGGGCCTCACCCCTCAATGTCATCTTCGTCGGTCTCATTGGCCTTGTGGGGCGTCTTGATGTTGTCCCCTTTGCCCACCACGGCAACGTCACACTTCACGTAGCCCTTCAGCCCCGAGGAGATGTCATCGGGGTCAGACAGGATGGCCCACTTGTGATGGAACTGGTGCTCTGCAATGATGAGGGGTGGGCACTGCACCAGACACCCCCACCCAGAGCGTCTCCCAGTGCTCAGGGCAGGCCAAGGGGTGGCAGAACCAAATGCTGTCTTGGTCCCTAGAGTCCCGGGACCTGGGGCCACAGCTCTGCCTGTCCCTAGCCCAGGGTGTGATAGAGTCTGAGGTCCTCTGGAGCTGGGGCAGTGGGTGCATGGCCTGCCCATGGACATATATCCCATGAGTGGTGTGACTTGGAAGCACGACAGCCTCCTCCTAATTGGGTTTTTCTGCCTGTGGCCTCTTCTATGGCCCCACCCCAGTCAGCCAGCCTTCACATAGCTGTGAAGGACACAGCTGCACACAGGGCCTTCCCAGGTGGAGGCTCATGCTCCTGCTCCCCATCTTCAGCCCCTCTGGGGCTTCCCAGTGCCTTGGGGTGAAGACAAAAGGCATGGCCTGCAGGCTCCTGATTTAGTGCTCCCTGACTCACTCTGCTGAGCCCACCCAGCCCTGTGTTCCTCCTTGCTGAACAGGTGTTGCGGTTTTATATGCCCTTTTATACCTCCATGCCTTTGCATCTGCTGCTCTTTGAGCTTGGAATGCCCTCATTCCTGTTCTCTCCACCTCCACCTGTCTTTCTCCCTATTCAATTTGTAAACTTCTACTCATTTTGCTCAAGTCTCTCCTCCTCCATGCAGCCCTCCCTGACTTCCTCGGAAGAGTTGATCCTGGGCTCTTTAGTGTTTGTTCTCTGTGCTCTCCATGCACACCTCCCATCTCACTGTGCTGATCTGGGTATTGTTTGGCTCTGATTTTAGACTGAGAGTCTCCTAAAGACAGGGATTGTCAGTCTCATCCCAGTGTCCCATGACCTATGACTGTGTGGAGGAAAGGACGGATGTCAGGGAAGGAGGCGCTTTAGGAAGGATTTGCCCCTTCAGGTTTACTTTAAGCCCAGTGGGCAAGCAAAGGGAAGCGCATCACTGTGCCTTAGGAATCTGCTTCCCGGGATGTTAGGTGGGCACTGAACTCTCAGGGACTCAGCACCTCCCTCCTTCACTCCCTCCTCTTCCACCTTCTACCGTAGCCCAGGCCTGTGTCCTGCAAGCCTGTGGCCCTGGTGGGCTCCCGGAGATGTTAGGGGCTGTGTACAGAGGTTGGCCTTTCTGGGAATAGCCAGGCCACCTGTGTCTCAGAAAAGATAATGCCACAGTAGAGTCTGAAGAGAGGGACAAGCAAGGTGAGAGGGCAGGAAGGCACGTGGATGAGGAGTCACTGGAGAACCTCAGCCAGGCTGGCAGGCCTCCAGGGAGGGGCCATGTCCCAGGAATCCCAGGAGCTTCAGGTCTTGCCAGAGCAGATGTGTGTCGGATGAGGAGATGGACAGAAAGCTCAATGAATGGGTGCATAAATGGGCAGAGGGATGGGTGGTGAGCTGCCTGGCCGGCTGAGAGATAGACGGACAGATGGTGAATGGATTACTGGATAGAAGGAGCCATTAATCTGTGGACAGGTGGGTGGGTAGATATATGGATGGGTGGGTGGATGGGTGGATATATGGGTGGGTGGATCTGTGGATGGGTGGGTAGGTGGATGGATCTGTGGATAGATGGGTGGGTAGATATATGGATGGGTGGGTGGGTGGATGGATGGATATATGGGTGAGTGGGTGGATCTGTAGACAGGCGGGTGGGTGGGTGGATGGATTCACGGATGGGTGGGTGGGTGGACCAATGGATATATGGATTGGTGCGTGAATGGATGGATACATGGATGGGTGGGTGGATCTGTGGACAGGTGGGTGGATGGATTTGTAGATGGGTGGGTGAGTGGATGGATGGATACAGGGGTAGATGTATAGAGGTGTGCATGGTTAGATGAATTGGGGACATTTAGCAAAGAAAGAGAATACGGTTCAGGAGGAATGTAAAATTTACCTTCAAATTTAAAGGCTATTTTTCTTTTTGTCCTGAAAGAGAGACGTGTGAAAGTGGGTGAAGGTTACAGGGTGACAGATTTTGAGATGACCTAAAGAAAGTGAAGATATCTAAAATAAGAAGTAGTGAGTGCCCCATTTCTGGGAGGACTAAGCAAGGTTAGAGGACCAATCAGAGATGGTGCTGTGGGGGTCCCTACATCAGGTTAACACTTGACTCATGACTTCTGAGGCCCTTCTAGTCCTAATACTGTGTGATCTCAGGCTAGAGATACAAGGACCACATGAGATCCTGAGCTATATGCTTACCAGCCTGAAACATCATTTCACCTCCCTTCAGCCTGGGGCTGACACCTGCCAGTCAAGGGTAGCCCAGCTGGGGAAGTTGCTGCATCCCAGACCTCCTTTATGATCTATGAGGATGAGTGTATGCCCCTGACTTCCTCTATGATCTATGAGGATGAGTGTATGGCCCGTCCTCACCCCCAACAGAGAGTAGCAAACAGTAAACAGTTTCCTGATGTTGCATCTGGTGGTACAAATGACAAAATGTGGTCCTGCCAGGGTGAGAAGAGGTTCTCTCGGGAAACCCCTTCCAGTTCCAAGAGATATCGACACCACCCAAAGCTTCCCAGCAGCACCCAGGAGTGTCTCTGGGAGCATGCTGTCCAACAATGCCCTGGCTGGAACCAACGACTCATCAAGAAGTTCAGGCCAAACTGGAGATATCAGAGTAAAGACATTGGGTCTCAACTCCAGGACCCATGTGACTTCAGGCTCTCCTGTCCCTGGGAGGGCACCAGGCTCAGGGCTGGATTCAGCAGAAGCAGCAAATCTCGAGCTAGGTTACCCAAGTGGAGACCTCGGCCCACATCCTGTTTCTGCCGCTTACTCACAATGTGGCCCTGGACCAGCTGTTTAAGCCTGCTGAGCCTCAGTTTCCTTATGGTGAAATGGGAATGATGCCTATATGGGGTCGTGAGGGTGAGGCCTGCTGGGACAGTGAGCTTAGCCCAACATCTGGCACTTACTGATGCCCTGGTGGTTTCCTCACCAGGACTTTACTACCCAGAAGCCCAGAGGTCCATATTAGACTAATATCTGCCTTTTTCTCCACCCCCTGACTTTCTCTTGGCTCTCGGCCTCAGGCCTGCCAGTGGTACCAGGGCCACTGCTCAGCCCTGGGAGGAGCTTATCCTCAGGGATGCCAGTCATTCCAAGCAAGTAGTCCACGGCTATGCATGCTTCCTGGAAAGCAACATGGCAGGAGGCCGACTCTTCCCTGCTCCCCATGGCACTGATGGTCAGCAGGGCTGCCCTCCGCTGAGGGCTATGGCATGTGTGGGGTGGTGGCAAAGGCACTGGCCTGGGAGCTGGAGACAGGGGTGCTACTCCTAGATGGTGGACAAACCCCTTCATCACCTTGGGCTTCAGTTTATCTTCACAGAGGCTGGACTAGATGTTTTTCAGGTCTTGGGCAGCTTGAGTGTTCTATGATCTTGTGATTTTTATGTGTATAATCTTGGTTTTGGACTCAGATTCCCTGGTCTAAGTCATAGTTGTAATGTGCACCAGCTGGACGTCTCTTAGGTTGAACCACAAGCGATCGCCAATTTGTTCAACCTACTAGTTTAGTGGTATCTCTAAGCCCCTTCATTTCTCTTAGCCTCATTTATCTCATGTGCAAAATGGGAAGAAATGCTGCTGCCTACATTACTGTTTTGTGAGGGCCCAATGTGACAATTGGGTGAAATTATGTTCTCACTGTCAAAGCGCCTAATGGGGTCATTACAGCACTCTGAGCAGTGCATTCACTTCAGGGACACAGGGTGGTCCCTAACCTGCCCACGTGGTGAGCTGTCATCTGGCAGGCTGAGGCACTTCCTCTGCCTGGCCCACCTCACAAGCCCTCTGGGCCACCCCTTGGGGTTCCCTTGCCAACACCATTGCTGTTACCCTACAGGACGCCACGGAGCACACATGGCTGCCCAAAAGCCTGGGGCTCTTGTAAGAAGTGTTTTCAGAGACCAGAGTCCCTCAGAGGCCGCCGCACTACATCTGGCATTGACCAGCATCACCGCTTTCAGATTGGATAGTGTGGCTCAGTGAGGCTCTGGGGACACACAGCCTGACTTCACCCCCGGCCAGCTGTGTGGCTGGGGCAAGCCCTGGCTCTGAGCCTCAACTGTAAAAGGGGACGGCAGGGTCCTGTGAGGGGTGGAAAGGGGTTCTTTTCTGCTCAGCAGGTGCCAGCCCAGGAGGCAGGAGTCTGGGCGCAGCCTCTCTGCAGGCTGTGACGGGTCTCCCTCACCGCATCCTCTACCACTACTGGTCAGCCTGCCTATGGCCAGTGATGCACCAGCCTGCCATGCACTCCAGAGCGTGTGATGAAGCTCCTTCCAGGCTCTGTGCAGAGTTACTCACCTAATTATGAGTGAGAACCCACCAGACTGGGTGCGCAGTTGCTCACTGCATTTGTGTACAGACTGTGCGCGCCACTTCTCCGCAGGCCAGATGGCTGTGTGTACTAACAGTCGCCAGACTGTGGTCCTTGCCAGCCTTTTCCCAGGAACTGCCACAGTGGGAAGGGCCCCGTGCACCACGCTCCCTGAGCCATGCACACCTCGACTGACTGGCCATGCGCAGGTACTCACCTGGCTGCGAGTACACGGTTCCCACGTCCATTTTGAAGGAGCCCACCAGGGTGCCACTGCGCAGCAGGTTCTTGGAGTGAATCACCTTTCAGGCAGAACCACAGCCCACCCGTCAGGCCCAGCAAGGGTGAGGCTTTCCATGGGGCAGTGGTGGGACCCGAGCTTTGTGGTGAAGTGGGAGGGCGTTGGCAGAGTGGGGTGGCTCACTGAGGCTCAGCATCAGCTCCTCCTGCCCACGCCAGTTTCTTGCTGGCCACTGTTTACGGGCGAATGCACTATTCAGAGGCATCCAATGAAAGGGGTGGGTGGGGGCCAGAATCCAGCCTGTCCCTACTTGCCCAGCCGTGTGTCCAGGCACGGCGCTGCCTCTTTATCATGGGTCTAGACAGAGGGGGCCCCTCTCAAGTCTGCACAAAGGTGCAGTTTGAGGGAGTGGCCCTGCCGGCCAGGGGCTGCTCCCCACTCACCGAAATCTTGATGATCTTGTCAAACATGACATCCGGAGAGACATGGAAGTCGAAGACGAAGTACTGGAGGGGGAAGGATCCAGGCCTGCTGTCACTGAGGGCAGCAGCAACAGCCCAGGCAGTGTTGGGCCCCTCCCTCCTCGCAGGGCCTGTCTGCACCCCAGACATTTGCCCTGAGCCCCAAAGTTCAGAGGAGCAGCAGAGGCAACTCATCTGATCCTGATTGACCCTGGTGGTGGGTGGTAGGAAGCAGAGCCCCATCCCCTAGGTGGGGCTGGTGCTGGCTAGTGTGGGGTGGGAAAGGAACTTGGAACAGTAGGTGGGACAGCCCATGCCCTTGTACTGTGCTCAGAAGAGGCACAGGGCCAGGGAGCAAGCAGACCTGGGTTCTAGTCCCCGCTCTGCACCTTCTTAACTGTGTGGCCTTGAGCAACACATTCTCTGAACCTCAGTTTTTTGAGCTGTGAAATGGGGATAATGACACCCACCTCAGAGTCTTGTTATGAGGCTCTGATGAGACAGTGTAACATATTTTACCAAATCTAAAGTGGCTACTGGCTGTAAGATATACTACGGTTTAATAAGCCACATGGACATTGCCATGAAGCCACAAGGCTGCCTAGGAGACACATCCCAAATTCAGAGAGGTGAAACTGTAAAATAACGCAAGCCTCAGAGCAGATGAACCATGGTGTGCCAAGCACTTAGTTGGCAGTCGATGTGAAATGCCATGGGTGTGCACTGTCCTTTGGTGCTGTGGGCTGCCATGCACATTTGCAGTCCCCATCTCTTCCCCTGGCCTGGGTGTGCAGGTGCTGAGGATGAGGGTGTGGGGCAGTGAGTAGAGGGGCTGCTGCTTTGGTGAACTGTGGTGGGGGAGAAGGGAGAAATATTTCCAATGTGCTTGGGGTAAATGTCCGAAGAGAACGTGCTCCTGGCTGCTGGGGGCTGGCCCTTGAGCACTGAGGGTAAAGCCAGCTTCAGAGCCAGCCCCACCTGGCTGTTACTGCTAGATCACTCACTTTCTTGCCTGAGCCTCAGTTTACCTATTATCCTATGAATGTGGAGATATGATCCAGGGCTGTCGTGCTGAACTGCTCCAGGGGTGCCATTCACTTGGGGGGCTTCAAGGTGTGGTTGTGAAGTTGCAATGAGACACCCTGGTCAAGTCTTTAACACAGGTGTGCACCACGGTAAGCACATAGCAAGCAGCGACAGCTGTGCATGACACTAACAGGCCCAGGGTGTGCTGGCCAGAGTTCTGAAGCTCTGGGGAGGCGGGTGGGGATATGGATTTGGGAATCGTCAGCACAAGATGGTAACTGACACCTTGGAGATGGAGGAGATACCTGGGGAGAGCATGGGAGGGGAAGCAGGCCCAGGTCAGGGCTCCAAGAAGACACAGCCTTTCAGCCAAGAAGTTAGGCCGGGGAGATGGAGCTGGAGAGACAGGGGAAGCAGGAGAGTGGCGTGAGGGGCCCCCAAGAGGAGCAGCAGGCAGCGGGATGAAAGAAACTGGGTGATCAAGGGAGAGGAGGATGACATGGACATTATACTCAGGAACAGCAATGTCCTTGGTGACCTTGAGGAGAGCAGTGTCAATGACATCTGGAGGCAGAAACCCTGCAGAGATTGAGGGGTGACTGGGGGGAGGAAGTGAGGACAACCCAAGTGGTCTGACTGTGGAGGGGTGGAGGGAAAAAGGAGGTCACTGGAGAAGTGTGTGGGAATGAGGAAAGGCCCAGAGAGAGGTGACAGACTCCTAGTTCCTGTCCTTGAGCACACATGGGTCTTCATGGTTGTACTTAGCATATGCTGGAGTAGAACACCTTATAGGCAAGGAAGAAGGGGCTGGAAGAAAAACAAAGACAGAGTTGGGCTGTGCAATGCCAGGTTCTTTGAGCTGTAGAAAGAGAAGGATCCAAGGCAAAGGGGAGAGGTGGATTTTCAGCAGGAGGAAGGATGGTGGCGCTCCCAAGATGCCCAGGGCGGGGCCAGATGCACACACAGGACACACAGGAAAGGAGCCTTAGTCTGGTTTGTGAATGGCCAGCTTGTTCCGGAAGGGCAAAGGTTTTGAGCTTCCCTGCACACAGGCAGGCTCAGGGCCAGGCAGGGTGATCAGGCCAGGTGCCCGCAGATGTGCCAGCCCCAGGGGAGCGAGCTAGCTGAGCTAGAGCCAGAATCCCGAACTCTCTGAGCTGTCTGCAATCAAATTCCTGTTATTTCCTGAGCATATTTTCCTTTTGTAATAGCTTAGATACCTAAGTCATGTTGATTGTTCCCACCTCCCTCTGTTGTTTTAATGGAGCCAAAGGAAGGTTCCTACCAGCTCAGATAATTAGTCAGAAATAATACATTCCCACGACGAGGAGGATGTCCTTCATTGAAAAGGAATGTGGCATAGAAAGAGAAGAAAAG
Organism: Homo sapiens; assembly: GCF_000001405.40. Classification (NCBI taxonomy): domain Eukaryota; kingdom Metazoa; phylum Chordata; class Mammalia; order Primates; family Hominidae; genus Homo; species Homo sapiens. Next base: position 26,492,099 of record NC_000002.12, read on the forward strand.
GGAAACAAAGCTTTGGGGCTGGAAAGGCTGATTTGGGGCTGGAAGGAATCATAGTAAGATAGTTTAGAATGGTGGTCTCAACTGAGGGCGATTTCAGGGGACATTTGGCATGTCTGGAAACTTGGTAGCTGTAACTAAGGGGAGTTGCTATTGGCATCTACTGGGTAGAGGCCAGGGATGCTGCTCACATCCTACACAGCACAGGACGATCCCACCACAATTATCCAGTCCAAGATACCATAGTGCTGAGTTTGAGAAACCCTAGTTTAGAGGAAACAGAAACAAAATCAGAGCTATTTGGGTTTGTGAAAAAGAACAAAAATGTGATCAGAAACACATTTAAGATTGTCCAAAGATGAGCAGAATGAATAGTCAGTCTTAGAGGAAGTAAATAGGGAATTTAGAAAGATTCTAGGCTGAAACAAGGAGGGGACCTGCGCAGGGCGGAAACTGTGCCTCCTTCATCTCGGCAGCCTCCATGTTGCCCCACGTGCCACTGTCTGGTGTGCGGCAGATGCTCAGTGGATGTTTGTGTCTTCCTTTGGGTGAGTGTTACTGAACCCCTCCGAGTACATGCCTGGCTCTGAACAAATAGCGAGGCAGGAGACTGGGAGCCTCCAGTCCACCAGCAGGACAGAGACACGGAGGACCAACCTCAACTCCAGGACATTAACACTGCAGAGAAAGGGGAGTGCTGACCTCTGACCCAGACAGAGCAGGCAAGGCTGCTCAGTAGCAAGAACATTTGAGCTGGGCCCTGCCGGGTGAGTAGGAGTTTTCTGGGGGAGCCACAGAGTAGGGAGAGCAGCTCTGTGCCCTTGGGAAAGAGGAAGTAATTTGAATGAAAGCCAAGGTGTGTGGGCCTGGTGGAGGGAGATCCCTTAAGTTAGCAGAAGTGGCTTCACTGCTATCAAGTAACCACCGGGGCCACAGGGACCTGTCTCCATGCCTGTCTTGGGGACATAGATGCTTATCTAGGCGGAGACTTGTCCAGTCAGGATGTGTCCTAACGTAAGGCCAGAGATGTCAATCCTGAATGTCCTTGGGGCTGGAGGGGTCCTGAGCAGGTTGTCCAGCTCGGGGGGCCTGTGGGAAAGCAGCTGGGAGAGCAGAGTCAATTTGTGGTCACAAAGGAGAGTTCGGCCAGGCCTGGGCTGAAGGGCAGAGGTGGGCCTGGGTTTTCTTCCTGCAGGTGCACAGTCTGAGGACTCTCAGAGCTGCCTGAGAAATGCCCTCCCCCAAGCTACAGGGGGCACCTCAGCCCTCACCCACCTCAGGGTACGGGACTCAGCTGCCTTACTTGGGACAGCCTGGCACCCCTCACTGCCTGGAGCCACCAGGAGAAACAGACTGGGGAACCCTCCAGGAAAGGGATGGCAGGGCCCAGGCCTGTGGCTTCTGGGTTAGTCTGATGTGTGATCAGGCATCTGGGAAAGGCCTGGGCATCCTGGTGAGAAAACATTTTCAATGGTCCATTTTCAAGGCAGGATAAGTCTAAGTACTGGCATCCAACCTGCGAATGCAACAAACCACACGGCTCATGCACCTAGAAGGACACAATAAGCGAACAGAATGTAGAGGAGGGGTCAGCCCATGAAAGGGAAGAAAGTTTTGTTATTGGGAAATCGAAACTTAAGTGGGGAAATCGAAGGGGAGCGGGGTATAACCTTGTAAGGGGGAAAATGAAACTTAGGCGACGTCAGGGAAGATTGTAACCCCATAGTGCTCAACCAATGGGGAAGTGGGGGAGGGACTTGCACACTAGGAGATAAATTCCTGTTGTGACTGCCCCAGGGGTGCCTGCCTACCAGACACTCCATCTTGCAAGACCGTTATTAAAAGTCTCACTTTCGCTGTTCTTCATGCCTCTAAGTCATTCTTTGGGTTTTGATGAGTGAGTGTATTTCTCTATTTCTCACATCCCTCCCCAGAGCTGATTATGATGGGGTCCCATCTGGAGCCTGGGAACCAAGGTGCCATATTTGTGATGGTGGCCAGAGCCCTGGGCTGGAAGCTGGGTGGGCAGCCTGGCCCCTGCTCTATCAGCAACACTCTCTGAGATTGTGGGCAAGGCCCTTCCATATGGAGGCCTCAGTATCCTCCTCTGTAAGATGGGGAGATTAAAGTAGAAGGTCTCTGAGGTCCCTCACCCTTGATGTGGCCTCAAATGGCTGGAAAGAATAGGAGTGGGTACCAAATGTTTTCTCTTTCACACCCTAAAATCAAGGCCAGTGCTCTGGAGAGAAGCCCGCAGAAGTTTAGGCAACCATGAAGGAGCCGAGCCAAGAGGGCAGAACCCCACTAGCACGCCAAGGGCGATGCTGGCACTGTGAGGTTGGACAAGGTCTGCCTTCAGAAGTCTCACTGTCCCCTTGTGTAAAAGGGAATTGATAGTGACAACTTTGGATGGTCCAGTTCAGAAGCATTTAGGAGCATGCCTGGCTGGTAGAAAGTGCTTACTAATGGTGCCAGTGCCACCATGGGTTGGAATGAGGCAGCCCTGTCCTTGGGCTCTGGCCTGGGAAACAGTGGGAACCAGGCCTCTTGGGGAGTGGGGTGGGGGGGGGTTCTTTCACAGGCACTGCTGGGGTCTGCCCAGGAGCACCCGGGTGGTGTACGCTTCAAAGACCAGTGTCGGCCTGTGCTCTAGACTGGGGGGTTCAGAGGATTCAGAAGATGTGGCTCTGTTTGTCAGTGTCCTGGGGGTTGTAACAGGGTGGATCACCCCTGCTGGTAGCCCTGTGTGCTCCTTGACTTCCAGCCACTCCTATTTCTCCTGGGGAGGGCTGGGGCCACCCTCCTGCCATATTTACAGAGGCTCCTTTCCCCACAGGGCCACTGACCTCGTTGTAATAGGGGCAGTTAGTGGACTCCTTCATGGATGTGTACTTCTTGTCGTCACCCACCTCCACGCACACCACAGGGTCCATGTTCAAGCCCACCAGCTGCCGGGCCTCGATCACCGTGATGCTGACCTGCAGGCAGGAGAAGGGGGAGCCAGAAGGAAAGCTGCCTGAGCCTAGGAGCCTGGTCCCGCAGGGGTCCAGGGGCTGGGGCAGCAGGGTCAGAGGGAGGGCCCGGGAGCCAGCACTGGCCTCCTGGGCTCCATTCTGACCACTGCCTCTCATCTGCTGGGTGATCCTGGCTCTTTCTCCTTCTATGCCTCAAGTGTCTTCATTTATAGAGGAGTATGAGTTGGCTAACCTCTAAGTCAGTGTTCACTAGACTTAACTTGCTGGGCCGAAGGGAGGGAGAGGCATTAAAAACACTGATGCCCAGGCCACCTCCAGACCAATCCAATCCAATCCTGGACATGCAGCTCAGGCATCTGTATTTTTATTTTTTTGATGGAGTCTTACTCTGTTGCCCAGGCTGGAGTGCAGTGGCATGATCTCGGCTCACTGCAACCCTCTGCCTCCTGGGTTCAAGTGATTCTTCTGCCTCAGCCTCCTGAGTAGCTGGGATTACAGGCATGCACTACCACACCGGGCTAATTTTTGTCTTTTTTATACAGATGGGGTTTTGCCATGTTGGCCAGGCTGTTCTCAAACTCCCGGCCTCAAGTGATCTGTCTGCCTCGGCCTCCCAAAGTGCTGGAATTACAGGCATGAGCCACCGTGCCCAGGCTGGAATCTGTATTTTTAAAGCTCCTAGGTGATGCCAAGTGCCCTGCGTTCTTCCCCAGCGTCGATGGCTCTGCTTCAGAAAGAGCTGCCAAACCCATGTCACAGGTTTCATGCACTCAGGAATAAAGCTTTCAAAGTCTTCATTAACTTGCATTTAATTTCCTGCTCCAGGAATTCTCATGTAAGCCTGCAGGCCTCTGATACGTCTTTGCATTTCTGGAATTTGGCTCCCCCCCCTTTCCACATTGTTTGCTGAATTTCTTTGTTTGTATGGCCAGTGCGGCTTTGGTGCCTGCCTGAGCCGCCTTTTTCAGCCTACTGATTGTATGTTGTGTGCACTCTGCTGTGTCCTTTATGTGGCGTCCAGCTCTGCAATCTTACTTATATCCTGGGAAGCCCTATTTCAGTTGTTCATTCATGCAACAAATGTTTCCTGGAAACCTGCTGGAGCCAGGCACAGGTGGGATTGCAACAAATTCTTCCTTGTGGAGCTTACCACAAATGATTAATGGCTTTTTTTTTTTTTTCACACTGAGTCTCTCTCTGTCACTCAGGCCTGGAGTGCAGTGGCATGATCTCAGCTCACTGCAGCCTCCACCTCCTGGGTTCAAGCGATTCTTCTGCCCCAGCCTCCCAAGTAGCTGGGATTACAAGCATATGCCACCCCGCCCGGCTAATTTTTGTATTTTTTTTTTAGTAGAGATTGGGTTTTACCATGTTGGCCAGGCTGGTCTTGAACTCCTGACCTCAGGTGATCTGCCTGCCTTGGCCTCCCAAAGTGCTGGGAATGCAGGCACGAGCCACTGTGACCAGCCAATTATTGGCTTTTTAAGCTAAAAAGATATAAGGACAGAGAGAGAGACAGAGAGAGAGAGAGCCAGAGCACCAGTAATTTTTGACATCACTACTACTTTTCCCGAACCCTCATTTTAAGCCATCAGGTCTCATTTGGATTTGGAGGTGTCAGTTCCTGTCAGGGTGGCCATGTTAAGATAGACAGAGGCATGTACTGGGGGTTGCTGAACTTGGGATTGAACCCCAGACCTGACATGTTGCCAGGTGTGAGGGCAAATGACCACATAGCCTTGTGTTTTTCAGTTACAAGCAGAGACACCAGCTACCTGTAAGGTTGTATGCAGGTTAAATGAGATCATGTGTGTCAAAATGCATCCTAAACAGCAGAAAGCTCTACAAAATGTGAGTGACCCCAACAGAATCTCCCTTCAGCTAAGCGGTTGATCTCTCAAGTAGGGAGCTTGTGCATGATACTTAGAATGATTGATTCACTTGCCTCTCTCAAACGTGTGTTTTAACAAGAAAAGCCTTTCCCCAGCTAGAATAAGCATGGACCTCTGTACATTCTTCTTTTTTTTTTTTTTTTTTTTTTTTTTTTTTTGAGACAGAGTCTCACTCTGTTGCCCCGGCTGGAGTGCAGTGGCACGATCTAGGCTCACTGCAACCTCCACCTCCCGGGTTCAAGCTATTCTCCAGACTCAGCCTCCCGAGTAGCTGGGATTATAGGCGCCTGCCACCGCACGGCTAATTTTTGTATTTTTAGTAGAGACGAGGTTTCACCATGTTGGCCGGGATGGTCTCAGTCTCCCTCGTGATCCACCTGCCTTGGCTTCCCAAAGTGCTGGAATTACAGGCGTGAGCCACTGAGCCCGGCACATTCTTCTAATGCGACTCCGAAGGTTGCTTTTCATGCCTGTCATCTTGGAGATTTCATATTTTAGTTGTGCTTTGATGCAACTTCTAAATACGACTTTACTTGAGAGAATTATCTTCCCTTTCCATGAAAAAGAATAACCACTAAAATGATCATCCAGTGTCCATCAAAGTCTGAAAAATAACCTGAGGGTGATTAAAAATCTACACATCAGAAGTAATCATGTTAAGGAAATAGAAATTCCAATGTTAATGAGAACATTGCCAGGAAAGGGGATATTTACAAATGAAGTGACACTTGAACTAGGAAGCAAACATTTCCGTTTGGAACGTGAAGTGACAAAGGGACGGAAGTAAAAGCTTAGAATCTGGAGCTTCACAGAAGTTCAATATTCACTGCTCCTTCAGGGAGCTAAAAAGGAAATAGGACTAACTAACTTAGCTCTGAGAAGTTTACTATGAAGAGAGCAAACGGACACTAGAAGTCCTTCTTTGCACAATAGTTTGTAGAGTTTTAACTTCCACGAACCCTTTTTTGCCAAAGATTTTTAAAAACCCCATGAATTTTTCCACAACTAATGCCCCCACCAACAATAAAAAAGGCTTTCTATAACTCAGGACTGGGAAGCGGACAGACATAGTTTTGGCATCTACCGAAGATAAGCCAGCAGCAAGTCCTCTTCCCACTGCCAAGAGAGTGGTTGGTTTTTATGTTTTCCATCTCGAGGCATGGCCATAAGACAGGCTACTTCTCCCTGTCCCCCTTTTCAGGCCTCATACGTTTCTCCCTTCCTCCATGTAGCAGAGCCAGTGAAGGTGACAACCTGGGCAGAAGCTCTGGCAGTAGAGGCGGAGGGTGGAGGGGAAGGTGGGCAGAGGCTTGAAGGAGCAACGGAGGGAAGAGAAGCTCCAGAGGGTGCTCATTGCTGGTTGAAGGGCAGCCCCGAGAGGAAGCTGAGGGCGCTGGAGAAAGACCACCAGGCGCATGGTGTTGGGGGAAGGGGAATGCCATTCCTGCTGCCTCCCACCCCTCCTGGGGCTCTAGGAAGGGGAAATGATGCACTTGAAATAAAAAATAAAAAATGGCTGGTCATTCTCCAGGGTTCTGGGGGAGGGGCTTGGCCATCCTTCTCTCCAATCATCAGCAGAGGACTCAATTTTTCCAGGGTGGAAGATGAAGAGGCAAACGGAGCCACAGCTGGGACCAACTGACCAGCTGACTATTCCACCATCTCCTTTCAAGATAAGGGACATACTCCCCAGTGGCTTCATGAAAGCGATCACAAGGAATAATGCTGAGTGGTAAATCTATACCCCTGTCCTGGGAAAACCCGAGAGTAATAATGCTTTGTGACCTGCTTCCCAGGGACCTGATCCAGCTTCAGGAACATCTGCTGGGAGCCAGAGATGAGAGTTGGTGCGCCCTTTAGTACTGTCCTTCTGCAACATCCATTACCCACTCCCCACTTTTCCAGGTGGCAGAGATGTGACATGACCAGATTTGCATTTTCAGAAGTTTGCTCCAGTGGTGGCATGGAGTTTGGAGTGGAGGAGGCAATATGAGGGCAGGGAGACCAGGTAGAAAGTAGGTACAACCATGCAGTTGAGGCTGGGGACCTCAGGTCAGTGGCAGGGGCATGAAATGGAGGTGAAAACTGGAGAGATGTTGGGTGACAATGTATTAAGTCTTGGTGCCAGGAAGAGATGGTAATAAAGAGACTCAAGACCCCTTGATCCACCAAGAACATCTCTGCCAAGTGCCAAGCGTTGCTCACTCTGGTGGGGAAACTGCACATTCACAGGGGGGTGACTGTGGTTTCTTGCCTTGGAGATGGCAATAATCAGGAAAGAGTTTACACGTGACGTGCATTCTAAATGGAAGAAACAAAGAGCATGGGTACGCCGCGGTCCTTTTACCTCCAGGCTTCTTTCAGTGCCATAACCTTTAGAATGGTCCTGAGCCCTCACAACCCTTCCTGGATCTGAGTTCAGCTAAGTCTCCCCACATCTCACCAACGAGGTGTCCTTCCTGCGGTCTTTATATCTCATCAAACCCAAAGTCTCCAAGAGAGTGAAGTCGTATCTGGTTTTATTGCTTTTTATTATTTATTTATTTATTTTTAATTTTCTTTTGAGACAAGGTCTCCCTCTGTTGCCCAGGTTGGAGTGCAGTGGTGCGGTCTCGACTCACTACAACCTCCACTTTCTGGGTTCAAGTGATTCTCCTGCCTCAGCCTCCCAAGTAGCTGGGATTACAGGTATGCGCCACCACCATGCCTGGCTAATTTTTGTATTTTTAGTAGAGACGGGGTTTCACCATGTTGGCCAGGCTGGTCTTGCAATCCACTCATCTCGGCCTCTGAAAGTGCTGGGATTACAGGCATGAGTCACTGCACCCGGCCTGCTTTTATTGCATTATACACTGTATGTATTGGAAGTGAAAATAATTTCACATTTGCATCCTCATAGCTCTCACTCAAATGTTTGCAAGGTTAATTGTGAATGAACTTGTCGGGAAACACTATGCTACCAGGTTAAATACAACAACCGTTTTGTTCAGTTCGGTTTAAAAAGTCTTTGGAGGGGACAATGTCTGGTCCAGTTAATAAAAGTCTCTGGTAGGAGGCAGTTTGAAAAGGTTTGGAAAACAAGCACTAAGTAGCAAGATGAAGATGAACCAGGGACCCGAAGGGAGCAGCTGTCTAGAAGGCTTGATATAGAGAAGTCAATTGCTCTTATGGCTATGGCCAGACACCCCTGGCCTTGAACCCTGGCTCTAACCTTGGCTAACTTAGTGGCAACGACCTGGGACAAGTTCCTGACCTTCCTGGGGCCTCACTTTCTTACCTATAAATGCAGTAACACCTATATTTGGGTGGTTGAAGAATTACATTAACTTCAATGGAAATACATATATAGCTCCTAGCACAGTGCCTGGCATAGAATAAACCTTCAAAAATAAGTTTCATGAACAATAATGACTCTATTTTTGATGTGTCCTTACCTCTTAGGCCAGTGACATGATACCTGAGTTGGGGTCGTTGTTCTTTGGAATTCTCCAGTTCTCAGCACACAGAGAAACAAAGCCCTGAGCCCAATCCCTTGGAAAAGCCCTCGGAAGTCTCAGGACACTTTGTGTTTGGGTTTTGGCAGAGGTGAGGGGCCGGCATTCTCAAACCCCTAAGGAATCCAATGGCTTGAAGTTATTTAAAACCACAGGGGCAGGTCCGTTTGACATTGCCTGGGGCTGTTTTTCAGGCACCTGGGAAGACAGTTGCCTGAGTAGATGGAAACTAACTAAAACAAAGATGAAGGGAGATGAAGTATATTCTGGAGAAAACATGGCCAGATGTACCTTTTACATAGAAAAGTGCCATCTTATCCTTTCCATCATCACCTGAGTGAGGGGAGGTGGGGTTGTCCGTAAAGAAGGGTTAGTGTGCTTGGGGTCTGGAACTAGGCATCAGAGATAAAGCTCTACCCTGGTAGATGGGGCTCACTCTGATTCTGGGGCCTGGTGCTGATACCCAGACCGAACATCCCCAGGACAGAAGTGCAGTGGCAGCCAGGTGAGATCTCTTGCAAGCCCTGTCCCCTCTGAGCAGCCAGCATTCTAACTCAATCCTAGGAAAGCCCAGCAGTCTTCTGATTTATAGCTGAGTCCTGTTAGCCTCCAAGGGAGGGTCTGGAGCAATGGAGGGTCCCTGGGCCCTTCCTGAGAGATGGTGTCCCAGCAGCCACCAGACATGCTCATCACCTGTCCTGCCTGCACTGTTGGCCACATTCACATTCTTACAGCTGTCAACCTCTCTTTGTCTCAGTCTTTTGTCTCTGGTCTTAGAAGCACACAAATAAAAAAGTTGTGTTAATCTCAGAAAATACAGAGAAGCAAAAAGAAGAAAAAAATCACTCACAGTCTCACCATCCAGAGATAAACAGAATCGTCATTACTTCCAGCAATCAAATAATACAAAACAACAATTTAAAAATCATGCCAGGAAAACTTTCTTCAAAGGCCCTTATTTTAACTGTTTGAATACTTTTTTGTAGTTCTTGGTCTCTTTATGGTTTTTCTAGGTGCTTCTCACTTTATGAAGTCCAATACTGAACATGAAATACTGGAAGGGCTTTGATTAGCATAGGCAGAGTTCTCAAGCTTTTCTTTGGGTTTGTATCTCTCTACTGATGATACTTCTAGGAATGCCTCCCAGGAACAAGCTTACTTTGGGAACTTATATTCAGCTTGTTGTTCTCTATGACCCCTGGATCCATGCCTCAGTATAGTGGATAATGCACATCCGGCTAGAATCCCCCACTAGAGCAGAGTCTGAAAGACATGAGGCCTCCAGGTGCCCACCTACCTGGTAATCCATGGGCCGCCCAGCACTTGGCTCCATCTTAATGTCTGGCTTAGATCTGAGGAAGAGAATGTACCATCAGGCCTGGGGTATGGGGACTGCTTGTTGGGGAGGAGGACACTGGCAGTGGTTAGACCTGGGAGTGGGCAGAGGGACAGAATCATGGTCTTTAAACACTCAAGCACTGCCAAGAATAGTGAGGATTAGTTGTCTTCAGAGGCCTCAACACAGAGAACTAATCAAAGGCAGAAGTAACAGAGAGACAGACATGGGGTCAATAGGTTCAAATATGGGGTGGGCAGGTCTGTGGCTTCCTTGGGCTGGGAGGTATTCAAGGACCTGAGAACAGGCCTGCAGCTGCTGTGCTCTGCTTTTGCAGGGAGAGAGGTGAGAAAAACACCCAAGGAAAAGCAGAAAAGGGTAAGGTTAGGTTAGGAAGAAGCCGTCCATGAGCCCTGATTCTTCCCTACCCAAATTCCAATCATGGCAAGCCAGGTCCTGCCTGACAGGGTGGGGGCAGCTGGGGTTGCAGGGCTCCCGTCCACTCACCGCTTGTTGGAGACATTAGTGGTGAGAGCTGTGACTGAGGCTAGAGACACCGAGTCGGGATCCAGTCCATCTCCTAGCCGAATGGCCAGATGGTCAAGGTCTTCCATCTCCAGCACCGCCGGTTCATCTGGGGAAGATGAAAGACTGGTTAGGTGGGCTGACTGATGGTGAGATAGTGACCATTTCTCCTTTTACTCTGGCATCCAGAAAGCTGAGAGTTAAATTCGAGGTTTACTTAGTTGCTACCGCTTAGAATATTATGGCCTGAATAACTGCAGTGTTTTTCTACCTAATCCCGATCTTGGATTTGAATGGCCATTATGTCTGGTCTTGCCTTTTTATTTTAATTGAATGCTCTTTTATTGTATACCACTTACTTAGGCACTGAATATCTCTTATGGAAGAAGGTAGGGAATAAAGAATCCATACTTTTGCACCTCTCAATAAATAGCTACCATTTGTTGGGTGGATACTCTCTGTTCCAGGCACAACACCAGGACTTTACATGACTATCTCTAGTCCTTAGAGCTGTGCCCTGCCAAGATGGGCGTTATTCTCATGTCACAGGTACAGAAACGAAGGCTTAGGAAGTAACTTATCCATATCAAACAGCTGATGGAATTCAGAACCTAATGCATTGGTGTGTATTCATCTAATGAGATGCAGACATGTGGATTCCGAACAGCCACCCAAGGATGCTGGGTTTGGTCCTCAGCCAGCAGCTGTACTCTCTCCATTTAAGAAGGTGAAGGGCACGGCTGGAATTGGCATGGGGGCAAGAGGGTGGGGGAGAGAGCCTGAGGGCCAGTAGGCCACAGAGGGGATGCTGGGGGAGGGCAGCCGGGAGCCCCGATGGTGGGCCCGTGATGGAGAAGATGGCCCCCTCCCAGCTCCCCTGTCCTCTCCATTTCTCCCCTTGTCTTCCTCCAGGCCTCCCGCCTCCTCTGCAGCAGCTGTCTTCCCCTCTCCAGTCGCTCCTCCGGGAGGGCCCAGTGCCACCTGCTGCTCCAGCCTCCCAGGCCCGGCCCTGCCGCGCCCTCCAGCGGCCCCAGGACCTCCCCAAAGGCCAGGCTGCAGCCTGGTGAGAGCGCTTGGGCGAGGCCTGCCGCCGACCCCGTACTAGTGGGACAACGGTTTCCCCCCAGAAATAGGGAGTTGGCCAAACAGCGTTTCTTGATGGATATTCTCTGCTCTAATTAAAACACTGGGCTTCTGCGTGAAGAAGGAAGAACCGGGAGCAACGAGGGCGGGAGGAGCCTTGTAACCAGGCACCCCCGACAGAGGGCGCTGCCCGTTTCCCTCCCTCGGCCCTAGGGCGTCTCCTTCCTAGAGGGCCACGCATCACTGGGTGGGGCCTGGCCCTGGGACGACCTATCCCAGGAGGGCCTTTTGGCAGCCGGGCAGGGGCTGGAAAGCGGCGGGAGGGCGCCGCGAGGCGCGGGGCTGCGGGGCTCACGCGGCACCTGTCCTACCTGGTCTTTGGGGCTCCTCCTTGTGAGACCGGTTTTTGCCGAGCTTCATGGCGGAGAACACGCTCCTCCCGGCTCTGTGAGGGGGGCCACCAGAATGAGGTGCAGGGAGAGGGACGCATGGAGGAAAACACACAAACACAGAAGAGCCAAACATGAGAGAACACATCAGAGAAGGGAGATGGACCCGGCCCCTCACCTACTGGTCCCGAGACAGATCGGGATCTGTCTTCCCAAATTGGGAGCCAGGAGGGGGAATCAGGGCAGTGAGAGACCCCTCCACTTCCGCCTTTGCCATCCTTTCACACACGGAGGAGAGGGATGGGGTCCCCAGCAAGCAGGGAACGTGGTCTTGAGCCGGAAAGAGCCGTTTTAACTGGAGCTCCTCTGGGTCTTGGACTTTTCAGTCTGATCCCAGCCCCTCAGTCTAGTCTCCTCAGAGCTCCGAGCCCTGCCAGTGTCCCCACGCTCATCCTCCCCGGCTCAGCTGGTTGGAGAGAAAGCCCGAGGACTGGAGACAGAGCATCAGAACGGCGGGGCAGGGACCAGAGAGGACTCAGGGGCAGAGGCCGATGAGGAGATGGGAGATGTGGTTGAAACGAGCTGTTCAGTTCTCAGATGGCCCTGGTGCTCAAAGCCTGACTTGTCTTTCTCCAACCTCTCCGTGTTCTGGGATGCTCCTTGGTCCCCATGAAAAAGGGGGAGATAGGCCCTTTCCCATCTATCTTCGGTCCTGGATTTTGCCCCTTCTACCTGTCCCCTCTCACTGCCAAATTCCCCTTTCCCCCAACCCCAGGAACTTATGGCAGGCTCCATAGTTCCTACCTCTTCCTCTGGCTTGCTGCGACCTTGTGCCCCCAGGTGAAGGGCCTTGCAGTCAGCGGGGCTGAGGAAAAGGGGCAGGGGTCCTCACTGTCCTTCAGTGATGTCCCTGCAGCCGAGCCTGTGGTTCCTGGCACCAGGAAGCCCCAGGAGCAGGATCAGCAGAGGGTAAAGTGCAGTGTTCCATTACCCCATCCATATTGCATGAGTGGATACCTGACTCTCTCCACTTCCCGTTCTCCCTCCTCCTGGGTATGGCCCCATCATCCTGTAGGTCCAGGTGGAGCCAGGTGTAGGCTCCAACCTGGAGCTCGCTTACAGCAGAGTCCACCCTTTTTGGGTCACACATCTCCCTGTGGAGGCTTGACTATGGTTTCTAAGACCCCAGATCCTTGTTCTTTATGCTGGGCAATAGGAGGTTGGGGAAAACCTTTCTGTCCTCAGGCAGATGACCTAGAAACCTCAAGCCCCTCTCCTCAGGATTGTGGGGCCAATCTTATTCCCCAAACCTGGCCCTATCCCAACCCCAGGACCTTTCTTTACTGTTCATATGCAGGACAAAGCACGTTCATATCCCAGTGAGGGAGCAATTGAGAATCACCCTTTTCACGTGGCAGCAGCTCACAATTTAGGGAACATTAGCATGTTCTTTGAATTCCTAAAAAGGAATGGAAGAAGGCTGATGTGTCTGCACTCTTCAGTAGCATACCATCTGAAATACGACAATGAGAAGAAAGGGAAAGAAAGAGGCTCTAAAATCAAAGCTGATGCCTTTGGAATTATTTTCAAAAGCTTCCTCCCTTCTGATGGGGGAGGTGAGTTACACACACACACACACACACACAGACACACACACACACACATACAGGCCAAAAAGAGACTACATAGGGCCAAAGGCCTTTCTAGATGTCTGCAATGTCTGCAGATGTCTGCTCATTTCATCTTCCTGGCAATCCTCTGAGGGCCACATACTTCTCCTCATTCAACCAATAAAAAGACTGAGGCTCAGAGAGGGGACAATAATCGCGAGGTCACACGGTGAGTGGCAGAACTGGGATTGAAGCAGAAAGCTCCTGTGTTCTAGGCCAGCAATATTTTTACTGCATCTCAGGTCCTTTGCCTCGATGCCGTAGGACTGCACTTTTCTGTGGGCAAGAATCCCATCCATTCCTGACCATTTGGGATTTTAGCTAAAAGGCCCCAGGGCTGGCACCCATAGGTACAGGTATGGTCTGTGTGCCAGCATAGTTTACAGATCAGGATGCTGTCATCTGTGGAATCTCACAGATCATACCCATGTTTACAAAGAAGGGGCTCATTCAAAAAGAACCTGAGCACCCAAACATTTGGGAAGGGACTGCTGTGCATGTTAAATTGCTGGTGACATAACATTGAACAGATCAATGAACCCACCAGAAATAATCGTGTGATGGTGGGGAAAGGACCACCCTGGCTGGCTTGCCCTGAAGCATCCTGTGGGATTTTGCCCCACCTGCTGGCCCCAAGGACAGGGGTGCTGGCTGTCCTGACCCCTGCCATAGGCCCAGCTTCAGAAGTGTAGTTTTTGTGGGCCTCCTCGTGGGTCACTTCCTGTCTCAGTGCTTGGGATTCCTTTTTGCCCAGCCGTGCTGCTCAACTATGTCTCTCCTGAATTACCCAGGAGTCTCCTGCAGGGCTCAGCGTTTGACTTTGCACCATTACTTCTTGGCCATTCCTAGGCTGTGTTATTCTTGGAGTCCTTGGCCCTTCCGCATGTGTGACCTACATAGTTAGCCTTTGCCATTGCAGCCTGCTCCAGCCACAGACTTCCCTCTCCCCTGCCCCTTCCCCACTTCCCCAGAGGGGAAGTGCTCTGAGATGGTAGGTTAGAAGCAGGCCCTGCCTGGAGAAGCCGGCTGCCCGGCCTGCTGGGATGGGATCTGGCCCTGCTGCCTGAGTCCCGGGGGGAGTGCAAGGTAGCAAGAAATAGTGGCTTTCAGAGGCTGGTCCCATGGACTCACCCAGGTGGAAAAGGACCTGAGGCATCCCTGGGGCACTTATGGCCCTTGAATTTGAAAGTCACTTTATTTCTTAACACAAACAGATTTGAAAGAAATGATTGAGGCTTTAAAAAACTATACTTGTCCTGGTCCGGTGCGGTGACTCACACCTGTAATCCCAGCACTTTGGGAGGCCGAGGCAGGTGGATCACTTGAGGTCAGGAGTTCAAGACCAGCCTGGTCAACATGGTGAAACCCCGTCTCTACTAAAATTAGCTGGGTGTGGTGGCACATGCCTGTAATCCCAGTTACTCGGGAGGCTGAGGCAGGAGAATCGCTTGAACTAGGAGGCGGAGGTTGCAGTGAGCCACGATCGCACCACTGCACTCCAGCCTGGGCGACAGAGTGAGACTCTGTCTCAAACAAACACACAAACAAAAACTATACTTGTCCAACTATCTCTACTACACCTTGAAGCAATTGAAAGGAGAAATCTCTCCCTTCCAACCCTGCATAGTTTTAGCTGTCTGAAGTGGTAGTACTGGTAGCACTCCTGTGTGCCTGGGAATATCTCAAAAGGATATTGTCTTTGTCCCTTTATTAAAAATGCAGAAATGTGTAGTGAAGGATGTAATTTCCAGAATTCTTACTACAGGCTCTGTACCTCTGATTCTCCTAGACTTGCTCTTCAATGAATCTGAATTGTGATCAGTACAGCATGATGTCATCACTGCCACTAGCCTTTGTAATTTTCTGATCAGTAACACATCAGAAGTTCACTATAGAAAAAGCCTTTCTGCCTGATTGCAGCACCAGTTCCCAGAAAGCAGTATGCCTACTTCTCTTGGCAAACTGTAAAGGAGAGTTTTGAAATAAATGTCAACTTAATCAGGGAATTTTGAAGATTATCTATTTGTCTGAAAGACTTAGATTTCAAAAAATGTAATTTGCTGTTGAGGTGTCCGTTGTCCTGGCCTTTTTTTGTTTTCAAAGTAAAATTCTGCATTTGGTCTAGTTGAGTTCTACAATTACCAAAAACAGGATATGGTGAGAAACAGACAAAGAAAACAAGCCAATAATCAACTCAGTGAAAACTCACTTTACAATCAAATGGCTCCTTATTCTTGGGCGTATTAAAGCTTGAGAAGTGAGAGCCAAGGGGAGGCCAGTATCCCAGGACCCTCTGAGGATTTAGAATCCGTTTGAGTTTCCTGTGGCTACATTCACCATGGTCAGAATGAAATGCACCTACAATCTAGACTGGTATTTATCTCTAGAGGAAAAAAATGCTAAAATTAGTTCACTTATTGTAAACTATAAATCTGATGATTTCTCCGCTCATTTTATGGCCCAGATTTAGAAGCGTGTTGCTGTGTGGTGCACACAGGGTCCTAGGTAGAGCTTAGTATTCATAATGACTTGGGAACATTCACCAAACTAAATTTAGTGACCCGAGTGTTTCATTAATTCAGGTCTCTGGATTATTCTGAAAGCTAATAGAGACCTGACCATAAATGAGCTGCAGGTCGAGTCCATTCACTGCCCAGGGCTTCTGCCCCATGACTGGCTTCAACTGGAACTACTAGGCTCATTAGCTCAGGCCTCAGGTAATCAATCAGGATAAAGACTCCTGTCTATGAGAAATAGGGTCTGTGGTCCTTCTTTGCATTGCTCAAACAGCCCAATTTTCAAAACCTCGGAGCATGTTATCCAAGCGCCCCTAAATGGGTTTATTTTAAAAATTTTCCATGCCCCAAGGCACAGGGAATTTCATAATTTTGGTCTTTACAGGTGTCTTTGAAAGTGTGTTGAATGTCAGTTAGTTTTTGAATAGCTTTCCATAGGTGGGCAGGATAGGCTGACCCTTTATACAAGAACCACCCTGTCTCCAAACTGGCCCGTTTGCACATGTGCCCACGTTGTACCAGAAGGCTTGGGGGACCCACACACACTTGTCCTGACCCCAGGATTGTCAGGGAAGCTGGCTCTTCAGTTCTTGCTGGCGGCCCAGCCCTTTGCAAGGCTCAAGCAAGCAGCATCATGGAAGATGATGGGTGTTTTCTCATCTCCCCAAACCAGCCTATCCCAGAATGTCACACACTATGAGTTCTTTCGTGGGTTGAATCTTGTTTCTCTACTTCAACTTAACTTCAACTTAAATTTATTTCCATTTATCTCTTCTCAGTGGAGATAGATACCAACCAGCTTTGCCACACATTAACATTTCAGAGATTGAAATCTGTCTCCACAGTTTTCTCTCCTCCAGGCTAAAGAGTTTAAATTTGTTCAATCTCTTCTTAGAAATCTCATTTTCCTATTCTTTCAATAGTCCTATTGCTCTACACATAATAATAATAACAATACTATATGCCAGTTTACTTTATCTCATGTGCTAATTAGAGATGGTAAGAAATTAGGACAGAGAAGTGCTAGGAAACCAGTATTTTGGTGGACCTACTATGTGCTGGCACTGTGAGGTACCTCTTACTCCAACTGTAGCCAGTCAAAGGGATCAGGCCAGTCTGTGTCCCTGTGGGTCTGGCCTGGGACAGACTGGGAAGCTGGGCATCAAGAAGGGCCTTAGAGCATCGCTGATCTCAGGCAGAGAAGCTGGGGATGGACAGGCTGCTTGTATCTCATTCATATGCCCTTTACATCTAAGCATCTATGGAGAAACCTGAACCCTTGAGGACTCCCTAAGAGGACTCCCCAGCTCAGCATTCCCCATCATCGCCACCCACCCTGGATTCAGTTCCCTGGCTCTGAGCCTTGACACATGCTCTGCCTACGTGTCTTCCCTTACTGGGAACCTGGCAAACTCCTCCATCCTTCAGGTCTCTGGGCTGGAGCTCTTCCTACACAGCGCCATTTCCTCCATCACTACAGAGTTAACACTGCATCATCATTGCTTTTGCTTGTGCGTAACAAATGCGAGTTAGAACTCATACCTTTTTTTGAAGCAATGAATGAGGCTGTGAGTTCCCCAGGATCTTAATGCCAGTGGATATCCCAAGCCCACACCAGTGTTGATCAGTTCAGACCCCTCAACACACAATCCTGATATTTCCATGATATCTTCAGATGAACTAATTCTTAATATATTGAGGCCACAGTTTTGAGCAAATCTCTTAAGATCTCTGGGGCTCAGGTTGCTTATCTGGAAGATAAAAAAGACCACACTCCTGGCTTTTCAGCTCTCATTGGTATGTTTGGAGAATTAGATTAAATTTAGATACAGTCAAGTTCTCTAAATTTCCTGGGTCTATGGTGAGCTCTGGGTCAGAAGTCAGCTTCCCTGTCTTCTGGTTCCAGCTCTGCCCCTGTTCTGAGACAGATTTGTCATCTGTAAGAGCAGGTGTTAACCAGAGGCCTCCTCCAGTATGGTCCACCTTGGCTACCACTGCCCTTATGAGATCCCGTAATGCTAGAGTCCTCCAGATGTCAGTGTGCTTCTAGGGGTGCCTACAAGACCCATTCACAACTCCCAGCCTTCGAATCTTTCCAGACCCTTGTGACCAGCCCCTCCCACCTGCAGGACCCTTCTCCTGTCCTCTCCAGACAGCACCCTGACCTCATTTTTCCAGGAAGCCTTTTGGGGAGATGAAGATAGAGAGGGCCGCCCAAATGGTGGCCTCTCCTAAGCTTTCTGGGGGTCTCCAACTCCACCCACGACCTGCAGCTGCAAAGGGTACCCAGAGTTCCTCCTCCTTATGCCTCCAGCTGCCTGGCCCTACCTCGCCCCTGTTGGGAGAGGGATCCCTGAGGTCCTCATGCCC
The DNA here is from genome assembly GCF_000001405.40 of Homo sapiens. Classification (NCBI taxonomy): domain Eukaryota; kingdom Metazoa; phylum Chordata; class Mammalia; order Primates; family Hominidae; genus Homo; species Homo sapiens. The sequence goes on from NC_000002.12 coordinate 26,510,346, forward strand.
CTCTCCCCTTAGCCTTTAGCTGTCCCCTCCCTCCCAGGGAAGCCCGAAGGCCACAGGATGGGGGCTGAACAGTGGAGGAGGAACAAGACACGGAGAGGAGGATGGTCACCCCCGAGAGCCCAGAGTGGAAACCAGAAGGTCTGGCCACCTCCCCCGCGACCCTAACCCCTCCTCATCCCTCACCCCCGTGGCCAGGTGAAAAGGCCTCCCTGGGCCTCCATGACCCGTGCCAGCTCTACCACGACAGCCCACTCCTGAGCCCTCTCAGCCGAGCCCATCCCGCCCTCCACAGCCTGTGGGGAGGAGGCCTCTGTCTCCCCAGAGACGCTGTTGCGTCTGCCCTCGCCTGGGACACCTACTTGTGCTCGTCATCTCTGCCTCCCTTGGTCTTCTCTCTGCCTTTGCTGAGTAGGGGGAAGAAATGAGGAGACAAGGGGACACGTGTGAGGGGCTGTGGACCAGAGACACTGGCCTCAGCCCCGGCCCCACGGGCCTGCACGCTCCCCGGGGGCCTCCTTGTCCCACAGACCTCTCACCCCACAGCTTCGCACGGTAGCAAGCCTAGGTCTGCAGAAAAGGGGTCCCATGGCCCTGGGTTCTGCCTTGGGGGAGATGGGAGGGGCCCACAGTGCTGGGCCTGGGTGGCCACTATTCCAACCCCAAGCTCTGATACCTCAGGGCCTCAGCTCATCGCCCCTACCAGGCTAAGATCTGATGATTCCACAATGTGGGTCGCAGCTTCCTCAGGGAACACAGGGTTAGATGAGCCTGGCCACCCTCCCGGCCTGGGCCACCCTGCTCCTCTGCCCACCGGCTCCCCTGCTCCCCTGCTCCCCTCCAATGGGGTGGGAGCTCCCAGGCTCTGGGGGCCTCTAGGGGAACAGTGGGCTAAGCCTGCTCTGTGAGGGTGAGGCAGGGCTGGGGGTCCTGCTATGGAGTGCACACGGGTGGTTGGGGGCAGTTCTAGGGGTGTAGGTGGGGCGGTAAGTGAGCTACCACTCCAGGGCTCAGAGCAGGGAAAAACGGCCCCCCTATCTCACTTTAGGGAGGCTTCCAGAAAACTTTTCTGGAATGTTCTCTCAATGCTTTCCCAGTGCTGTGGCAATGAGGATGAAGACAGGAAAGTGAATAACAATTAGCAAATTATTCCTCTCCTCACACCCTGTTCTGGCACAGGCCTTGCCCAGGTAGACTTGACTGCATATCCTGATGGCTCAAGACCTGAAGGCCTAGACACAGCACAGCTGCAGTCCAGCGCTGGCCAGCTAACCTTTACGTTGGGCAAGCAGGTCAGTCTGTAATTCAAAGGTGTTAACATCAGCCAGGCCTCGGCTGCCCACATCAGCTGAGACTACTAAGCGGAGAAGAGCTCACAGCATAGGAGGAGGAATGTGTCTCAAGCACAAAATCCCAGTGCGCCCGGCTGCCCCGGCTCATCTGAGCAGCTTTGGGAGCTGCTGCAACTCTGGGGCTCAGCCTGGAGAAGGAAGGCAGCAGAGGATTTTCTAGCTCTCTAGGGGCTGTGGAAACCGATTTAAAAACACTCTTGGGGTAAGGCTGCATGTACTGGCCCCACATGCACACACTTCTGCATGCCCACTCTCTGCCCCTCTGTCTCAGAGCCCCACCATGCACACGTGCCCCACTGCCCTCTGGCCCCAGCATAGGAGGAAGTTACCTGGCTTCTGCAGGCCTCCACTGGAGTGGAAGAATGATCAATAAGGAGAATGAGAAAAGTGGCTCCTGCCCCAAACTCCTCCCAGATGAGACCCAGCAGAGAGGAGACCAGCAGAAGAGGGTTTGGGCAGCAGAAGGAGGTGGGGGTCGTGGAGGGCAGGAGAGCCAGGCCAGGTGGAGAAAATGAGAAGAGGAGATAGTCGCAGAATACTGGGACTCAGGAGGAAAGGCTCAGGTCTCTACAGTTTAGCTGCAAGACTAAAGCTGGGATTTCTTTCTTTGTCCTCTCTAAGATGTGACTCCTAAAGACAGCATCAACAGCAGAGCCCAGAATCCAGAGTCCTCCCTGGTGTCATGCAGTGCATGTGAGTGTGTGCAAACACATGGGCACTTGTGTACACATGTGTGTGCATGTGAGTGTGGTCAGGGCCGAAGTCACTTTCTCTCCAGAGACTAGGGCAGGCATACGCTGCCATGCAAGGGTCTGGAACACTGATTTTGTGCTGCTGAGAGTGGAGCGCCCATGAGGTTAGGGATTCATTACATCTCTGCAACACTGAGAGCCTGGGGAGGTGAGGGGAACTTTGAGTAAATGAGCTCCCTATACCTGCCCCTGGGCCAGTAAGGCTCCTGTGTGGGCAGCTTCTGCAGAGCCCTTGGTATAGGGTGGGGAGCAAGAGCTGAGAAGGTGCTTGGACAGCACCTGAACAAGAGGGTCAGGTGCTGCTCGGGGTAGAAGTTGACATCAGGGTAACATGGAGTCAGTGAAGAGGAAGGAAGTGAACACTGGCTGAGCACCTGCCACATGCCAGGCACAGGGGTGGATGACTCGCAGGTGCACCTCACTCAATCCTGGCACTTCTGTGAGGCATCCTTGAGCCCCATCTCACAAATGGGGAGGGGGGTTCCCAATAGCAGAGCTGTGAGTGGAGCCTGTGCTCTGTCACACAGCACAGCTTCCTGGCACATTACCGGGGGCATTGTGCAAAAAGCCGGCAGAAATCAGGGCTTCGTGGCAGGAACTAGAGAAGTGGGCAGAGTGGCTCAGAGGGCATGCGGCTGACCAGGGCCTAGGGGAGGTGGAATCGTTGGGGCAGAGAGTCAGTGGGCGGTGGGGTTGGTGGTCATTCAGGCAGAGCCCCCATACTGATTCCCTGAGGAGGAACGGGGTAACTTCATGGCAGATTCTTAGGGTCTTAGGAGTGAGTGTCACAGCAGCTGAGGCCTGAGGTCCACACTGCCCCTGCTTAGAACCATCTGACCCCCAGAGTGAGGACAGGATGAATGTGGGTGAAGTCCCAGAGAAGCAGGCCAGGCAGGGCAGGGCTGGGGGGTGGACCCAGGCCCTGGAGGGAGAGGTGAGGAGTGCCCAGAGGATCTCCTGGCATCAGCCTCCCCTCCATCCGTGGAAGATTCCAGCCTGGGCTGCCCGGGGCCTGTCTGGGCTGAGGCTGTTTCCTGCCCACTCAGTCTACCTCCCCGCAGCCCCCAGCAGGCCTTCATTTCACCCCATCAGCCAGGGAGCGGCTGATCCCCACGCCGGACCCTAACGGTCAAGATGGCCGGTGAGACACTGCTGCTTGCCAGCAACGGGATTTTCCTCTTGCTCATTGTGGCTAAAGCAGGAACAAGAGGGAACTGTGGTTATTGAATACCCTGATCTATAAGGGGATTGGCCTTCCCAGGAGAGGATGGAGGGCAGGGAGCAGATGCAGGGGAAGCCTGCCTGGGCTCCTAACGGGGTCAGAGGTGAGGCACTGACACCCCTTCCCCGGTGTTGTCCTCTTTAAGGAGTAGGTGTTTTCCTGATAAAAGGTTGGCCAAGTCCCTTCTGGAGAGCTCTCTGGCTTCCTCCCAGAACCCACACTATGTGACAAGGGTGAGATGCAACATCTAGGGCTGCGGGGCCAGCTTCCAGGTCCCCCTCCTCACCTCAGCACTCCTTGACCCAGAACTCAATGGCCCCATATGGGCAGCCAGGATTAAGCTACAGGAAAACCCCAAGTTCTTGAACCCGCTCCACCTTCTCCTCACCAGCAAATGGCCCATCTCTAGAATTTTTCTCAACCCCTCTTTTCCACAACCAGGCCTGCTGGCTGCATGGCTAGGCCTGGCGGGAGAAGGTGTAGCAGCGATGCCTGTCCCCAATGTGCTCTCAAACCTGGGCTGGCAGCCCCAGTGGCAGCAGGGAAACTGTGCTCCTGCACACTGCCCCTGCAATGCAGGGTGGGGGTGCCTGGCTTCGGCTGTCACCCTCTCCCAATTCCCAGTCCGGGGTGAAGCCCCTCCTTTTGCTCCCGCTTCTTGCTGCTACCCTGGGAGGGGCCACACGAAGATGGGGAGAGGTGGGGAAGCCACCAGGCTGTGAGGAAGGGTCGGGGGAGCCCTCTTATCTCCAGATTCCTGGTGCCTAGGGCTCTCTGGGACTCTAAGCTCTCCAGAGCCCCCATCAGCACCCTGGCCCACTCTCTTAGGACTGAGTGAGAAACTGGCTCTGTGTTGCTACGCCACCCCAGGGAGGTTGCCTTCGTGGCTGCTAAGGGCTCCCAGGATGTTGTTTCCCATGGATGTGACCCACAGGTCCGGAGCATCCATGGGTCCCTTAGGACCTCAGAGTTGGAGGGGAGCCAGATGTAACTTGCTGAACCCATTCCTGTCACTGACCTACAGGGGCTGGTGACATGCCCAGTGTCACTCAGCCAATGAGTGGCACAGTCAAGATGGGACTTAATGGGCCTTAGCTCTCCTGATTTGGGGTCAGCATTCCTTTCCCTGTGACTGATGGCCCTTGTGTGGCTTCCGATCTTGTTCTCTGGAAGCTCTTTCTTAGAGCCCGGCTTCTGGTTTCTGGACCAGCCCTGCCAACCTCTTTTCTGAATGGAGACAGTCGAGGAGGACCAGGTGGTGCCCACTGAGTCAGCATCCCTTCACTCCCCGTCTGAGCACTGCTCCTCTTCTCACAATTTCCAACCCGATTCCTGACTCTTTGCATTGTTGTGCTACAAGAAACCTGTTTGTCTGTCACCAGCCTGGACATGGGCAGCGCTCAGCACCTCCATTGCCACCTGTTCCTCTGTGATCCCTCCGGCTCTCCCAGCAGCAGGGCAGGGGGATTTCCTTGCTATGTCCTTCTTTGCAGGTGAGGAGAGAGGGTCAGAGACTTGCCAAGGGTCACACGACTAGTAAGAGGCAGAGCTAGGACTCAGGCCTGGGTTTTCTGCTAAAGAGCCAGGAGTCTGAGGGGACAGGCTTTAAGCTAGCCTGGGGCTGCCCCATGCCCGTGGCTGGCCTGGAGTAGACAGTCCCGCCATGTTTGTTGCAGGCCTGGTCACTTTGACCTTGTTACTATTACTCATCTGGCTCCCAGGGTTTCTGAAGCTTGTGTGTGTGTGTGTATGTGTATGTGCACACGTGTGCACTCATGCACCTGTGTGTGAGGGGTGCTTAAGGGGGTGTGAACTCATTCAAGTGCAAAGGAGAAAACATATTTGTCCCATAAAAGTATGTCAGTTCAATTACACTAATTTAGAACCTATGGTTTCTTCAGCAGAGGGACTGAGTAAACTTTACTTGGAAAGGAAAGCGTGGAAGGAGCTTACAGGGATATGTTTCCAGTGGCACGGAGGGTCCCTTCTCAAAACACACCCTGGTCCTTCAGATGCACCCTTGACTTACTGGCATTTAACACATAATTCCTAGTGACTTAGGAACCCATGGACAACATCTTACTAGACTAGCCCAGATTCTGTCCCCTTGGTCTCTAATAGTAATACAATTGCATTTTCTGTTTTGTAAAAATAGTGCACGTGGAATGAGCTGTCCTGGATCCAGCTTCCTGTGATCCATAGGTGGCAGGACACTTGCAGGGCGTGACGCTGGATTCTGGGGGTTCCCGGGTACCCTCCCTTCTCAAGAGGAAGAAAGGCCAGGGCCCAGCCAGGATCTTTGGCTTCACTCTGGCAGGAAGAGCTGCCCTCTCTTGGGCCTCCTCACTGGGCCAGGGTAGAGGTCAGGCTGCCGGCACCTGGTGGACACTGCTGGGTCTTGAACCAGAGAGGCCAGGGGCCCTCCTATCCCCAACTCCCCTTCTCTGAGAAAGGCAGGAGATCTAGCCCCATCCCTGTGTTAGAGCTCCACCTCCCTCAGGGCCACTGGGGAGGCCTTGGCCTTGCAGCTCCATCTGAGTCTCCTGCTCCCTGCCCAGTGACCTCGGGGGTGGACGGCTGGGTGGGGGGCTACAGAAACATCTTCCCACCCCTTGGATGTCTCTCCAGAAGCTCAGCCCTGTACTCTGAGCCCAGCTAGGCCTAGAGAGGCCTGTCAGTAGGACCAGGCCCCAGGTCTCTTCCCCGTGTCTTGGGAGCAGTGGGCAGCCAGAGGGGTCCTGCCTGTTACCTCCGGAAGCTCTTCTCTCCTGGGGGCCGGGAGCTGGGCCGGGAGCCTGGGAGCAGTCCATCCGTCTCTTGGCTGTCCTTCTCTTCCTCTTGAAGAGACTCATCTCCCAGGAAGTCCCCATCGTCCCAGGAGCCCACTGTGCCGTCAGTGGCCTGATACCGGACCTCCACGCACAGGCTGGTCTGAAGGGAGGGAGGCGGTGGTGAGCAGCTGGGATGGTGACAGCAATCTCCACCCCGTATATGTGGCTGCTTGGTGGTGTTTACACAGCGCTTCCACACCCTTGCCTCACTGGAGGAGGTCAGGATGGTATGATCCCCTCTGCCCCATTTTGCTGATGAGAAAACAGAGGCTCTGAAAGGCTGACTTGTGCAGACCGGGTCAGCTTACTGGTACCTGGCTCCAGGTCCCGCTGCTGGTGGTTCCACTCCTCCCTGGTGCTCAAGGTGGAGGGGCCTGGCCTGCCCAGGACAACTGAGCCTGGACTCACCCCCCGAGTCCACTGTCTACATAACCGAGAGTGTCGTTCAGCATCCCCATGATCAGGCCACCTCCTCTCCTCAGAACAAGGGCTGCCTGCAGGCATGAGGCGCGGCCCGCCAGAAATCGGCTTGTTGGAAATGGACAGAATGAGCTGAAAGTGGCCTCCGGGAGAGGAGCCCAGGGCCCAGGCTCACACTCACCCTTCCTACCCTGGAGAGGGAGGGAATCTTGGGAGCTGCCCTAGGGTTTTCCTCTGGCAAAAAGTAGAGCACTCAACCGGGCTCAGGCTTAGCAGTGGAGAGTCATGATTGGGCTTCCTGCTCTGCGTCCTGGAGCCATTACTTTCTTGCAGCTCTAGTTTCCCCCCCAGTGCACAGGGATCACCCTTCCTCACTGGTCTAGAGGTGACTTGGTCCTGTGCCCCAGACAGGCGGCCCTCACTCAGTGCTTGGATGCTCCAGCACCCAGGCTTAGATTTCCCAAGGGAAGGGAAAGGTGCACATATTTTCTGAATCCTCACTGTGCTAGGCATCATGCTAAGATGCTTTAATGTACACTCATTTGATCTTTTCAACATTGCAACCTACCTTACCTAGCATATCAGGAGGTTAAGTTACTTGCTTTAAGTCACACAGCTAGGAAGTACTGGAGCTGGGATCTGAGCCCAGGCTGCCTAACTCCAAGCCCCATGTCCTTTCTGGAACAAATGGGACCCTCTTGGTGGAACCAAGTATGTTGTTATGGGAAAATGGTGGTCTCTGGCATTGGAAGTCCTGGGTCTCCGTGCTGGCCCTGCTGTCAACTGTGGCCGAATCCATTCCCCATCCAGGACTTCATTGTTCCCATTCATAACAATGGGTAGCGGAGATGGGTGGCAAGTGGGCTAGGAGATCCGTGAGTCCTTTCCTCTGCTGACATCTTAAGTCTGATTCTGAAAATCCAGGGCATGGGCTGTGCTGTCTGTCCATCCCTGCTCACTCCCCAATTCTCTTATCTCACTTCCCACACTACACTCTTCATCCAGGTTTCTGTGTTCTCCTCCCAGCCCGCCTTCCCATGGGTGTCCATACATAGCTTATTCTGCACCCCTTCTCCCCTTGCTGTGGTGGCTGAGACCCCGGTAACTTTAAGAAGCCCTCCCTGCCACCCCTGCCCATGGGAGAAGAGGGTTCCTTCTGTTCTAGCTCCCTGTGGCTGCAGTCCTGGCTTCTGAGGCTGTTTCTCTTGGCCACTACATAGGGCCATATATTACACAGGACCCCACTGGGGGACCATGGCACAGTCCCATTTTATACATAGGTAAACTGAGGTCAGGAAATAATAGCTAACAATATTATAGATTTATTGTGCATATCTGTGCTAAGTACTTTCTGTGTATTGTCCTTTAATCCTCAGAATAGTCCTGGGAGGTGGATAATGTAATTGTGCTCACTTTGAGGTGATATGTAGCTTGCCTAAGTCACACAGTTAGTGAGCAGCCTAAGATTCATACTCAGGGTCCCTGTTCCTCACCATCATGCCAACTGCCCATGAGTGGCCACGGCTGAGCTCAAGAGGACTGAAGAATCAGAGCAGAGCCTGGGGCCAGGCTGTCCTGGTAGGGTTGCTTCCTTCTTTGTTAGAACATGTGTCAGGTGCCTCTAGACTGTGCATCACTAGTGCACGCGTGCTCACGCAAAAGTGCTGGGATGTGACAAACAATAGGAAATGAGGTCCCTGCCCTCCCAGGGAGGACCCGAGCCAGATGTGCAGAGTGAAGGTCATGCCCTCGAGTGCCAGCAGGGCTCAGTCTGGCCTTTGGATGACAAAAGGAGCCTCTTTAGTGACTCCTGAGCTGGGTCCAAATGGAAGGACCAGTTGGTGCATTCCCACCGTAGGAAGGGCAGGGGTGCCTACTGTGGGGCAGCAGACCCTGCCATGCCACAGGGCCTCCAGCCATGGCCACAGATTGAGCCATTCCAGCAGAGTCTGACCTGAGTCTCCTCCTCCTGCGACACCTCGCCATGCATGAGAGGCATTCCCCAGACCACCCCATGTGTGAGGCAGGGAGAACAGACCCCCAGATGGCCCCATATGGGAAAGTCCAGGAACTCCGTGGGGCATACCCACCTTGATGATAGCATTGTTGTCATCAATCAGCGTGTCAGTCACCTCCACATGGCTCTCCTCTACCACCTTCTGCAGCACCATGCGGAAGGTCCCGATGAGCCTGGGGATGGCAGAGGGGGCACGGTGGTAACATGGAAGAGACCAGGGTGAGGAGCAAGACTGACATCCCAAGGGCTGTGACTGCTTGGGGAGGACTCAGGTGGGCTTGCTCCAGCTCTGGGCTGGGCTGGAGAAGGTGGCCCAGGAGCCAGGACTGGTTGCAGCCAGGGCAGCATGTCCCACTGTGGATGGTTGTTTGTGGGAGGCCCATTTCCTTGGGAGAGCTCCAAGGGGCAGTGAGCACCCTTAGGGGATGTCTACAGACTGCGGGGAAAGGTGCATGAAATCCAGCTTTAGCTGAGCCCTTGCAGAGAAGCTTCCAGATGCTCAGTGTGGAGGCTGGGAAAGGACCTGAGTTTCCTGGATGGACAAGTAGCTCCTCCGGCTTCTACCCGCCTAACCATGACCAAGGTTTCCAGCCCACACCAACAGCACTCACTCATCCATTCCACATCTGCAGCCTGTAAGTTCCTGGATGGCAGGAACCTGTGTGATGGCAGAGCCCATGGAACTGCACAGCAGGGGAGAGGCGGTGCAATGCTTTGGTTAACAGCACAGTCCTGGCATCAAAGAGACAGGGATCTGAACCCAGCTCTGACACTGACTAGCAAGCTACCTGCTTCCTGGGCAACTTCCTTAAGCTCTCTCAGTGTCGGTTTTCTCATAAGATGAGCTGATAAGCCCTACTTCACAGAGTTGTTGTTGGAGGACTGAATGAGATCATCTGCGAGTGTTCTTGTCAAAGCCCCCAGCACACAGCCAGCACTCCAAAGCAGTCCGTTTTGTCGTGATTCATGTACTGCCTCTAAACTGTGAACCTCTCAAGGGCATGGGTGGTGCTTTTTATTCTAGCCTCTGTTTGACATTTCTAGCACACTAGAGATCTCAATATCTGCTGGCTGAATTAATGAACAACAGTGGGTGCCCAATAAATGCTGATGGAGTTGACTTCAACCCCATTGCACCCCACAGTCAGAAGGCTGTTTGTTGCTCTGGGAGAGAACAGGGAACTCAGACAGACGTTCTTACATGGTGCTTCCACATAGAGTGGATTAGAATACACACACCATTTCTAGCTGAAGGCACAAAGGGGAGGGAAGCATCCAGGGCGTGTGAGAGCTGGAAGGGACCTTGGGCATCATCTGATGCTGCCTGAGATTTATAGAGGAAGACAGTGAGGCCATGGAAGGGGAAGGGACACAGCTAATTAATGGTAGATCTGGGTGAGGTGAGGTATCAGATGAATTCTGACTCAGACATGCTTCATGTCTCTACCACCCTGAGGTCTGTGGAGGGTGAACATTGATTTTTTAAAAATCTTCCCATCTGTGTGAGGGGAGGAAGTGGTAGGGGCAGCCATGAGGAATGGATATGAAATGCTCCCCTTTGGAGCTCAGAGCCCCAACCACCATTGTGCCCCACCTCCCTGAGGATGAAACTGACCACGCCACTCCTTCACTCTAAAGCCGAACTGGGCTTCTGGGCCCTTAGAGCAGCCCATGGAAGCCTTCTTCCATAGCTGCATGCACCTCTCCCAGCTCAGGCAGTGCCCCAGAGACAGAAGTGCTGGGCTGGGGGCCAGGAGCCCTGGAGCTGCTGCCCCTGAGTCTCAATTTGGTCTTTATAAAATGAAGAGGGAAGGGGACTTTTAGCTTCCGTACCATGTAGACATTCTAACAGTAGACCACGGGCACGAAAAAATACACTCATCTTTTTGCAGCCTCACCCCTTTTTGTTCTAAATCAGTGGTTCTCAAACTTCAGCATGAGCAGAATCACCTGGAGGGCTTGTGAAAACATGCACGGCTGGGATATCCTCTTCTGTGGATATGCTGGAAAATGTGTCACTGGTGGGAGAGGAGAGGTGCTCATCTGTAGCATTTGCTGGTTTCTGAGATATAAATACTCCCGCCATGGCCAACTTCAAGCTTCTAATGTGAAGTCACCAAACTGGGTCCACCGGACTTCAGTTCACACCACTGGCCCCGACCCCAGGGCTCTGATTCAGTGGGTGGGAGAGGGCCTGAGAATGTGTATTTCTGACAAGTTTCCAGGTGATGCTGAAGCTGCTGGCTGGGGAGACACTTTGAGAATCCCTGCTCTACTATTACCCTTTGTGGATGGCTATTCAGCTGCCTTGATTCCCCTAGGACCTGTCGAGCACCTGTTGAGCGTGGGGCGATCAGGCACATCTTTCTCCAGAATTAGATGCCTAAGAACAGCCAAGGCAGCTCCCCAGGATCCGCAGAGGTGCTGCAATGTGACAAGACACTCCCAGGGGGCAGGGTGGAGCTATTCCCCCTGCAAGTGCTCACAGAGGCGTCTGGTGCCTTCTAGGCTTAACCTGCCTGAATCTCAGATCTTATACTTGGGAAGAACCTGAGAGACCTTGTCCAGCGCCCCTTCCAGGAGGAATCCCTGAAACAACCTCCCTGACATGTGCTTTTAAGTCCCTGCTAGATACTCCGGTGGTGGTGACAGTGATGGGGCTGTCACTGGTAGTCCATTCAGCCACTGCCTTAATCACACAGTGTGCTGAGCAAGATTGGCCTCCAGGCAAATCCCCTACTCTTCCTACCCTGGTCCAAGCCCTGTCCACATGCAGATTAATTCCATCCCTAAAGGGAAGCGGTGTAGACAGTGAGGAGCCTGGGCTCTGGAGTCAGACAGATGTGGGCTCACTCAGCAGGACCCAAGGGAGATTCCACCTCCTGGCAGCAGTGTGGTTTTGGCTCCTTCTGCTATAGCCCTCCGACTTCCACCGGACAGTGGTGAGGAGACTGCTCATGTGAAATTCCTCTACCAACACCGGCACTCGGATGCCAGCCCCTCCTCCCTCCCTAATAATGAGCAGGGCTGGCCATCTGGAGAGCCTACACAGGGCGAGTCTCCTTTGCAGGATGGGCTTCAGGGGCAGGTCCAGGCAGTCCCCCACCCTTCAAGCTGTGCACAGCCTCGCACAGCCAGAGCTTGTCTATGGCCTGGAGGGTGGGACTGGGACGCTAGGAGCTTGCAAGATTAAAGGAATCAATTTGCCACACCTCCAAGAGTGGCTTGGGGGGTTTTAACTCCTAACAGTTCACCCCCCAACCTCTCTCAAATAAAAGTAAAAATTATATTTTTTGACATGGACAATTGATATTATCTCAGCCTTATGTAAAGTATAAAGAAAAGCAGTTTTATAAACCTTGACTCTTTCTACAGGTCTGTAACATACCATTTAAGCAAAAACACAGTGCTTGCCATGAAAACAGTTTCAAAACAAAGGCCCTGGCACTGCTTCTAGGATGCCATCCCTCAGCCCGTCTTCTATAGATATTCTTTGGGAAGAAGCTGGGACAGGAAGAGGTAGGAGAAGCCCCTGGCTCTGGCCCTTGTGGTGACCCCAGAGGCGACCCTGCCCGCCGCAGCTGGCCTTTGTGCATCCTGGCTGCACACATAGTAGGTTCTTACTCCTCTGCATGGGTCAGCATGGAGGAGCTGCCTGGGAGAGTGGGGCCCAGGACGATTGAGGAAGGGTGGGCTCATATGCTCCTTAGACAGCTGAGTCATTTCCCTAGAAATGGAGTTGTGAGGCCATGTGTTCTGTGGGAAGGAGCACTGGCCCGGGTGTCAGGAGGCCTGGGGTGAAGACCTGACTGTCCTGAACCTGCTGTGTGACCCTGGACAAGAGGCCTCTCTGGGCCTCAGTTTCCCTGGGGCTGTCAGGCAAAGGATCTGGGGCTAACTCCATGTCCTCTGACTACTTGCCTTACAGGGCCATCCAGGTCACCATGGCAAAGAGGACACCCCTCACAGGAGGCTGTCTGGCCCCACGAGGGGCTGGGCGGCTGGGCAGAGCTAAGATCCCCACGTAATTAGCCGGCAGGAAAAGGCCTCCAGCCCAGATGGGCCCACAGACTGATCACAATAGAGCGGCAACTGGGCACCAGAATCCTGTCAATAATTCATCACTTTCCCCTGGGAGCCCGTGTCAGGTGTCCTGGGCCCTGCGAGGCCTCTCCTGCTGTCCTGGCTCCTGAATTATTCAGGGTCCCTGGCATCCTTAGCAGGCAGGAGGCTGGAGGCCAGGCCATGGACCCTCAGAGGTCCCGGACAGGCAGAGCTGGATGCACAAAATCTTCTGAACCGAACATTTCTTTCTCATGGGGAAGCCCAAGGTTCCTGGACACAGGTCTTTGTTCCAAACGGGGCCAAGCAGACCTGGAGGTCTCCTGGTTTCTGCCTAGGATGCCTCCTTCCTTCATACCATGTCTCTGCCTCCTGGCAGCCTCTAGAACCACTGGGTGAGGGGCCAGTTTCCAAGCTACTCTCTGCTTCTAGGACAAGTCTCTCTCTCTGAGATGGCAGTGATGGGATCAGGCTCATTTCTCGTCCTGGGACCCACTCTCCCAGGCAGCTCCTCCATGCCTCTTTTAGCTCAATTTCCCCAAATGCATCGGTCATGTGATGCTGAGTGTCACCCTTGAGTGCCCTGAGTCCTTCAGAGAAGAGGGGCCACTCCGATTCCCTCTCAAAGGCTCTCCCACCTTGTATACCTACCCTCTGCCTCCTAACACCACAGGGGCATTTATTCATTCTTTTATTCCACAAAATAATCAGGAGCCTGCCATGTGCCAGGCACTGTCCCCAGCAGTGGCCATGGCTTTGCTCATTGCTAAGCCTAGTGCAGACCCCAAAGACCCCTTCCACTCAGCTGCCCCATGAGAAGGAGCCTGGGGTCTGAACTGGGCCATGTGGGGGTTGAGGGCAGTGGCCTCATTGCTCCTCTGGCCTGGCCCAGGCAAATGCCAGGATGGGGAGACTTGAGTCTCACATCATTCCAAACACCTCTCTCCCACTCTGACCCCCACAAGCTGGCCTGTGTCAGCCTGGGCCTGTGCTCTCCACAAGGGGACCTCTTCTTTCCCATCTCAGCTCTGCAGCCAGCAGTGCCCTGGGCATTCTCTAGGCTTCCAAAGAAATGCCAGAACCTCTCCCACCAGGCCTGGGCCTCCCCTTGTGGGGTTTCCTGCCTTCTCTTGGATGGGGGCAGGGAGGGAAGAAGAGGAGAGTTAGGATAGGAACTATTCCCCTTTCTGTCTTCCTTCTTATTGGCACTTAAGAACATCTAATACAGGCTGGATTTGGTGGCTGGCACCTGTAATCCCAGCACTTTGGGAAGCTGAGGCAGGTCTATTACCTGAAGCCAGGAGTTCGAGACCATCCTGGCCAACATGGGGAAAACCCTGTCTCTACTAAAAATACAAAAATTATCCAGGCCTGGTGGCATGCACCTGTAGTCCCAGCTACTCGGGAGGCCAAGACATGAGAATCACTTGAACTCAGGAGGCAGAGGTTGCAATGAGCCGAGACTAGGCCACTGCACTCCAGCCTGGGTGACAGAGTGAGATTCTGTCTCTGAACAAAACAAAAACCAAAAACACCTAATAGAAGCTGTAACTTTCAACATATTCACTGCATGGGAGTCAATTTCCCGATTTCCCAAATACTTCTGATTTGTTTGTAGCAGTCTTTTGATGGGCTCAAGTGTTTCCAGCATTTCAGTGGTTAGGCTGGTGGCTTTCATTATAAATGATTTAACAATGTCTTCCATGCCCTCAGTTTCCACCATCACTGCTCAAATATTTTGGTTTCTGGGAGTTGGATTAGGAAGAGAAGTTAACAGACATGCATTCTAGCCCTGGCTCTACCATTGTCTACCCATGTGACCTCAGGTTCCCCTCTGAGACTTGGTTTCCCCTCCTGCACAGCTAGGGCTGTAGTGGCTGAGCTGTAAAGCTCCTGGATGCTTTGGCACCTATGGTTGGGTTCCTTCAGGGGCTCTCAGGTGCCCTCCCTGGTGCTTGACTTCCGATTCTCCTTCCTTTTTCACACCCACTTGGTCTGTGTGTGAGCCTTCCACTTGTTCCTGTTTCTCCTGTCCTCATAGGTCACACCCTCATGGTATCTCACCCCAGGGAAGAAGGCTCTGCTTCACCTTGGGGGCCCCTGGTGGGGGGTGTCTCACCAACCTTGCTTGTGGGTGCCAAAAGCAGCTGCCTGAATGGTGTGATGCCATGAGAGGCAAAGGGAAGGCCTTTGTGCACTAAACATCCTCCCTGTGGCCCTGACAGCATTTCTGAAATGCCCTTGCCCCATACTCAGCTGAGATTTTGAAAGCTCCTAATAAAACCCACAGAATCAGAGACTCCTTGGAGCCCATATGGTGGGGCCTTTCCTGACTCAGAAATCCCCTCTACAATGTGGTCCACTCTTTGCTCACCCTCTCCCAGTGGCAAGGAGCTCACTACCTCCTAAGACAGCACATTGGCTGGAAAATACTGGCTATCTTTCAGTTGTCTGCTGTCTTCCAGCAGCCTGTTCCTCATCCTGCCTCTAGGTACACACCTTTCTTTCCTCTTCCTGTGGCAAAAAGCCTTCTGGGAGGGTAGGGGCAGGGACTGTGCCTCAATACCTCATCTCAGTATCTCCAGTGACTAGCATAGTGTCTGACTGGCAGAAAGCATTTGTTCACTATATGTATGATGAGTGACTGCAAAGTTGGGTGAAAAGATGGATGGATGGATGAATGGATGGAAGAATGAAAGGATGGATGAATGGATGGAAGGAAGGATGATGGATGGAAGGATGGATGAAAGAATGAAAGAATGGATGGATCGATAGATGGATCAGTGAATGGAAAGATAGAAGGATGGGCCAAAAGTGGTGGCTCACGCCTGTAATCCCAGCACTTTGGGAGGCCGAGGAGGGTAGATCACTTGAGGTCAGGAGTTCGATACCAACCTGGCCAACATGGTGAAACCCCATCTCTACTAAAAATACAAAAATTAGCTGGGCACGGTGGTGAGCACCTCTAATCCCAGCTACTCAGGAGGCTGATACAGGATAATTGCTTGAACCAGAGAGGCGGAGGTTGCAGTGAGCCGAGATCAGGCCACTGCACTCCACTGTGGGCCACAGAGCAAGACTCTGTCTCAAAAAAAAAAAAAAAAAAAAGGAAAAGAAAAAAGGTGGAAGGATGGATGAATGGATGGATGAGTGGATGGAAGGATGAATGGAAAGGATGAAAGGGTAAGTGGTGGATGAATGGATGGAAAGATGGAAGGATTGGGTTGATGAATGAATGGATGAAAGGAAGGATGGGTGAATGGATGGATGGATGGATGGATGAGTGGATGGATAGGATGAATGAAAGGATGGACGGATGAATGGATAGATGGATAAATGGGTGGATAAATGAATTGATAAATGGATGGAGGGATGGATTGATGAATGGATGGATGAAAGGATGGAAGGATGGATGAAAGAAAGGAAGGGTGGATAAATCAATTGATGGACAGACAAATGGATAGGCAGATGGATGAATAACAGGAATGATAGATGGATGGATGGATGAATGGATCAATGGATGGATGAATGGATGAATATGTCCTCTATGATTTTCCCTTTCAGGCTCTCATCCATTTGTTATAAGGTAACACTTAAAGTCCCTTTCCTCCTGGAAACTATAGGGTGGTGCCTACAGGAATTCTCTGCCACTAGTATCAGAGCAGTGGACTCCTTGTCTCTCCTGCTCAGATCAGGAGTGCTTTAATTCTATTAGTATGATTTAGGATGAGGCCTACTTTTCTTTTGTTTGTAGTCTCCTCCCACTGTTGAGTCATTCTGAGTCCTCAGTGAGCTAACACCTCCATACCTTCTTGGACATGTTACAGTTAAGCCATGACCTCCAGCTTGTATAAGAGCAACCGATTTTTTTTTAAAGAGATGGGATCTCACTATGTTGCCCAGGCTAGCCTCAAATTACTGGGATCAAATGATCCTCCCGCCTTATCTGCCCAAGGACCTAGGACTACAGGTGTGTGCCACACCTGGCTGTGATTTTTTAACCCAAGATATTACTTAGCCACTGTTCCAGCGTGTTCAAATCCTTCTGAATTCTTCTCATGGCCCAGAGAGAAGGATGACAACTACTTTTATTGAACACCTTATAGTGATAACGCTCGTATGGCAGGTGTACTTCACTTGTGGAGTGCAAGCTCCATGAAGGTAGGCACCCCGCCCTCTGCATCACCTAATTCAGTACCTGATACACAATCGACGCTTAGTAAACATTTGTTGAATGAGTGAGTGAATATCTATCTCATTTAATTCACACAGCTGCCCTTTGAGGTAAATACTTGTCCTTTTCACACATGAGCACATTGAAATCAGAGAGGTTATGTAACCTTTCCAGGGTCACACAGTAGATGACTGACCTGAGTGTCTGAGATCAGGCTTGCCTGACTCCTAAACCACCACCCCAAACTGTCAAGCCTGCCCTCAGGGCTACAGAGTGTCTCTTGGAGGAGATCATCAGCCCCTCCACCTTTCGCCTCTCCAGTGGGTAACTGTACCCCAGCGTGGCATTGAGGGAGACTTAAAGCTTTAAGTCTTTAAGACAGGAAGCTTTGATGGGGTTGGAGACAGCAGAGGTGATAGGAGGGTGGAGTGTTCTTGGCTGACAGCAGCTGGGAGAACTGGGGGATTCTGAAGACAAGAAGAGGGATCAAAATGGGGATCAAAGACCAGCCCAAGATTTCTTCGGTCTTTGAAGATCAATCCAGGGCAGGTTGGGAGTGTAGGTCCCCTTTTTAAGCCCCAAACAGAGGGTAGCCCAAGGAGAAGAGCAGGCTCCCAGCCCGTCCAGGCCCAGCCCCTCCTGCCCCATCCCACACTTACTTGTTGCTGAAGACTTTGCTGTAGTTGAAAACCTGAATCTCCAGCATCTCATTTCTGTCGATGCTGCTGGCCACCGGCCACCGAAATGTCTGGGGAGAGAGGGACAACTGCGGCTTCGGTGGCAATAACAGGTAGGAGCCGTGGGGTGTGGGAGGGGAATCTCTTGTGGGGATCTCCAACAGTCAGAGTGGCCCCTCACTTGGGCCCAGTGCTCCCCAGGGACAAAGCATTGACACCTGGAATCTCATTTAGTTCCAACAACCACCTTGTAGAGCCGGCATTGTTGCCCACTCCTCTTTCAAAGATGGTGCTCAGAGATGTTGGAGGACCTGCCCAAGGTCATGTGGTAGGTGAAGAGCCTGGACCTACCAGGACTTTTGACTCCCTACACAGCGCTGCTTCCATGGCCTCCCAGCTCCTGAGGGGGGTTGGGAGAGGGTGGTGCAACCAGGGTGGTGGTCGGGTCCCAGGGAGACAGCAAGGAATGTGGGTGTGAGCCTGGTTTTTGGTGGGTGCTGAATGGAGCTGTGAGCTTCCAGCTCTCTCTCATCAGAATCACCCTGACTGGCACAGGCTCTGCCCCAGACTCCTGTGTTGAGTTCAAACCACTCCTCACTCTGCCAGTGGTAACACTGGGGACAGGTTTGAGCTGATTAGTGTTATTGGGGTCAGGCCCACAGCCTGTCCCCAACTCATTGTTTCTAGATTCACCCTTACCACTTCTTCGTTGCTTCCTCCCTAACTCAATGTTAATGATGAGTAGGAATTTGATTGGGATTTTTCCTGGTGCCCTAGAAGTGGCAACAATGGCTCAAAACAGAGGCTAAAGTGGCCCAGTGCCCCATTCTGTAAAAAGCTGCCAATGGGCAGAGCCAGACATCTTCCTAGGGCTTCCTCAAAGGCCCTGTTACCTCCAACCATCACCCAGCCCACCTTCCTGGGATGGGAAAGAAGACTGGGCAAGGGAAAGGTGGGAAGAATTCTGTCCTAGGCGTAGTGTTTTTGTGGTACTTCTTGGGGAAACAGCTCATGGTGATTAGATACCTGCAAGAGGGGCAGCATGGCATGCAAATCCCCAGTGGCATCTGCAGGGCAGTGGACTGGCAGGAGACCCATAGAGTACAGCAGGGCAAGGAGCCCAGCCTGCCACTGTTGGCTGTGGCAAGTCATCTATTTGCGCTCCATTGGCCAAGTGGGGTAGAGTGATATGAGGACAGTTTTTCCATGGGCTGCCCACCAGGGGAGGATGTGGAGGGCCTCAGCAGGGGTCCCTGTCCCACTCCACATCCTGAGCCACAAGCATGAGGGAAGGAGGATGGCCAGGGGTGAACAGGATGCCAGACTGGAGTAGGAAGCCCTTCTGGACAGGACCAGACAACGCTGAGGTCTGCTCAAGACGCTGTGGAGAGACCGTGTCAGGGAGGATTTTGACAGATCTGGTAGAAGGCAGTGACTTTTTATTTTTTAGTTCCATTTTTATACCCTACCAAATTCAGACTGCTCAATAGTCCAGTAATAAATAATAATAGTAATAATCGCTGCCATTTCTGGGGAACTTTTTCTTATGCAGAGGTCTGAATGCTCTACGTGCATATTCATTCATTTAGTCTTTCCAATGGCCGGAGAGGTGGGTAATGGCTTCTGTGCTCTATAAACAAGGAACTCGGCCTCAGAGCAGATGCATGACTTGGAGCACTCTGTTGCTGGCTGAGCAGGCCCTCGGGAGGAGGCTTCTGTGAGCCCACCCTGCACGTTTGCCATTCCCAAAGCTGAGATTCCTTCTCCCAGCCTGGGGACTTGGAGGGCTTGGGCACACTGGGCCAGCACCGCGGGTCACTGCCCAGTGTGGGCAGGGCCTGTCTCAGGAAAACGGCCTTTGTGACATCTCCCTTCAGGACTGGCAAGGGAGGACCTGGCCTTGGCATGAGAGGGAGGAAGAAGCAGAGGAGCGGGAGAGGGGTCTGCGGGGTGGGGTGGGGAGGGTTCTGAGCAGGGCCTAGGGAGGGCTTCAGAGGCGAGGTGGGCACAGGGCGGAGGGGTGCGCTGAGAGTCCCAGGAAGTGGAGGCAGCCCGGCCCACAGGCCTCATTCAGCGGCTGCGGCTCCAGCTTCTGGATGCCTCTGGCAGCTCAGCAGAGTGTGTGGTTTTCTTAATGAAGCTGCTTTTATGGGGCTGCAGGGAAATAAAGCAGCCCAGGAAGGCCCAGCTCATCAGCCAGGGCGCTGTGTGGGAGTCGGGGGGCCGCAGGAGCCACCGAGATTTGGTTTACTGGGGATGAAGAGGGGAGGGGTGATTGGTCCCCCTGAGGGTCTGTGGGTGGGATTTTGGCATTGGAAGGAGAGAAAGATCAGGAGAAAAAGGACATGACTTTGGAGATGGCCCTGTGAAAGGGAGGTGGGGTGTTGAACGGTGGCGGGAGGCTGAGGCTAAGGGACCTGGGGAGGGAGGCTGCCTGGCTGCGGGGCGAGGGCCAGTTTGTTGAGTGAGAGTCGGGGGACAGGGAGGGCACAGGAGACAGGGGGCTTCCGGGGCCCCTGACTGCAGATGAGAATAATCAGGGGAAGCGTGTGTAGGTGTGTGGCTCAGGTGCCCTTTCAGAAATTCGTCAGCCGGGTCTGGGCAGTCCATGCCTATGTCAGCGGGGAATGTTCTTCTTGGAGGCTTTCCGGGTGAGGGAGAAGACAGGGTCCTCACTGAGTCACAGCAGCTTCTTCGGTCTCTGACTTGCTCCCACCTTACAGTTTCCTTTCTTTCCTCCCCTGTCTCCCTCCCGCATTTTCCACCCACACGAGGCTTTCCCCTCATTTCTTTTCCTTCCCTCCCGCATCATTCGTCTGCTTTCTTCTCCTCACCACATCTGTTTTCTTTCATCAGTTTCTCTCTCTGTCTCTATCTCTCCCTTTGTCTCTGTCTCCCTCTGTCTTTCTCAGGGGTTCTTCATCTTGGCTGGAACTGCAATCCATTCCAGAAGCTTTTAAAAATCCCAAGGCCCAGCCTGGAGACCGATCAAGCCGGCACCTCTAGGTGGGGTCCTGGCATCAGTGTGGGGCCTCGGAGGGTGACGGGCCTCTTGGCTGGAGGGAAGTGACTCAGGGTCTGGGACTGGGGGTTACTCCCATTTGGCCTCCCTGGAAGTAGAGGCATGGGCTGTAAGAAGGAGACTTTTGGGGTTGAATTTTCCTCTCTTTTTATCTCTCCTTTGTTAAAACTTTTCAGTGGCTCCTCTACAGCTCCCTGAAAGAGGTGGGGATTCCCCTTCCTAGCACCCAGAGGCCCCCTTGCTGTGCCCAGACAGCATTTCCAGCCCCATCTCCCATTGCTGACACCTTCCTTTGCTGAGGCAGCCTCTGTGAGCTCTGGGCACCTCACAGAGCTCCAAAGGACATGCCCACCCTTTGCTTCTTTTTTGTTCTTCTGACAACACCGAGGCTTGTATCTCACGCAGACTGGGAGTCTCCGTGGTGTTGCAGAAACTCTGAGTTTGAGTCAGGAGACTTGAGTTCTAGCCCTGGCTCTGCCACTCACTAGCTGTGCCTCAGCTTCCCCATCTGTGAAAAGAGGGGGGTGACAATATCTACCTTAGAGGGCTATTGAGAGAATCAAATGGGATCTCACAGGTGACAGCAGTCGTAAGTGACACAGCACGGCAGAATGTGTTTAGTTTAGATCTTCCCAGTGGGAACTCTGTGCAGGTCTGCAACTGCCTTGTCTCCTTGTCATGCCACCTCCCTCCCCTTCGCCGCCATCACTTTCCTCTTCTGCCTCGGCCTGTGGATTTCACGTGTCTCTTTCACTGCATCTTCTCTTCCCTAATTTCATTTTTCATTGTCTCCTCATTTTTGTGGTTATGTCCTTTCCTCCATTTGGGGTGATATGCTGAGAACACAGCAAGACGAGATGAGGATTTTGAGGGTTTGGGAGCTACACTCCTCTCCTGACTATGGTATTGAACTTGTGAGCTATTAGATTGAAGGAAAGGGGGCTGGGGGCAGTGGCTCATACCTGCAAACACAGCATTTTGGGAGGCCAAAGTGGGCAGATGATTTGAGGTTAGGAGTTTGATACCAGCCTGGCCAACATGGTGAAACACGGTCTCTACTAAAATACAAAAATTAGCCAGGTGTGGTGGTGCATGCCTGTAATCTCAGCTACTTGGGAGGCTGAGGCAGGAGAATCGCTTGAACCTGGGAGGCAGAGGTTGCAGTGAGCCCAGATGGCACCATTGCACTCCAGCCTGGGTGACAGAGTAAGACTCCACCTCAAAAAAAAAAAAAAAAAAAAAAAGACTGAAGGAAAAGGGCTTCTGAAGGAAGAATTTCATCTGGGTAGGACTTAGTACTTCCAGAGCACATTTACCCATAACCAAGCTCACAGCAACATGGCAAAGATGTGCTCCTTTTACAAGTGGGAAAGTGGAGAGGCGAGAGTTGCCCGCGGGCACAAGGCTGGTTGGTGGCAGAGGCAGGATTCAAACTCAAGTCTCAGGATGCTTAGTCTGGAGTTCAGTCCTCAGGGCTTAATCCACTACACTGAATCCTCTCCTGAAGCCTGGTACTGCTGGGGGACTCAAGTAGCAGTTAAGCCAAACACAGTCACTCAAGATGTCACGAGCCAGCAAGCCCCATGCTGGGGGCGAACATTTGCTGAGCACTTGCTGTGTGCCAGGCTCTGTGCATGACGCTGTGCAGAACGCAGGGATGCAGGGTTGTTTCTCAGTCCTGGGGATGGTCCTGGATAGTTCTGGAGACAGACACAGACCTGGAATAGCAGCCTGGGATAGGACTGTTGACAGAAGCAAGGTGGTAGGTAGTACAGATAGGGAGGGAAAGAGGGCCTCTGTTGGAGGGAGTGATCTCAGGAGCCCGGGGAGTGCTGAGTCCTGACCCAGTTTCCTGGTCTAGGCTTAGCCCTGACCTGGCTGGTGCTGGCCGGGGCACAGGGTTCTGCATCCTATCAGCCCCAGTGATCTAGGACTCTGCAAAAAAGGTTTCCCTGATGTACCTTGGAGAATGATCTGGATTATGTCCAGCTTGGCCGCTGAGTGGGCCTGGAACCATCCTAAATCAGCAAGGTAGCATCCTTAAAGGGACAGGGCTATAGGTTTGGGGGAAAATATTGAGATGCACTACAAAGCTTTAGAGCAGGGGTCCCCATATCCCGGGCCACAGACCAGTACCAGTCCATGGCCTGTTAGGAGCAGAGCCACACAGCAAGAGGTGAGCCGCGGGTGAGCGAGCATTCCCGCCTAAGCTCCATCTAATGTCAGATCAGTGACAGCATTAGATTCTCATAGGAGTGTGAACCCTACTGTGAACAACATATGCAAGAGATCTAGGCTGTGCACTCCTTAAGAGAATCTAATGCCTGATGTTCTGAGGAGGAACAGTTTCATCCCAAATAACCCCCAGCCACCACCATCCCAGTCTGTGGAAAAACTGTCTTCCACGAAACCAGCCCCTGGTGCCAAAAAGGTTGGGGACTGCTGCTTTAGAGTACAATGGAAAGAGACGGATTTGCAAGCTTAAAGGCCTGGGCTCAGTATCCCGAGTGTGGCTATTTCACTTTCCCAGGGCACAAAGGCTGGGTCTCTGTGTCTCTGTCTCTCTCTCTCTGTTTCTGTCTTTGTCTCTGTCTCTTTCCCCAGCTTCTTTAGAGTTGTAAGTTAAATGTAGGATCTCAGATCTCAGCTGGTCTTCTTGGGCAATTCTCTTCCCCACTCTAAGACCTGTTTCTTCAACTGCAAGACAAGAGGGTTAAACTAGATGATCTCTAACCTTAGAGATCAAGGTGATCTAAAGTCCCTTTAGGTGATCTCATCTGTGCCTTGCCTGCTTCCTTTCTATCCAGGCCACAGCAAAGGGCTTGATGTACCACTAGCCCTGCTGAGCCCACTCGGTCTGGGCACAGGCCTGCGGTGACAGGTGCCAGTCCTAGTGAACGTCACTGTTTTTTTCATTCTTTCACTCGGCAACATTTTCTCAACTCCATGCTGGGTGCCAGGCCAATGACGAACAAGACAGGTGCGTTTCTGGCCTCCAGGAGGTAACAGCCATGACTTCCTGGTACAAGCAGAAAGGGGCAGATAAGGCCAAACTCCCCTGCCCTGTCATCCCCCAGGCTGGAGACCTCTTCTTCCTCTTGGCTCAGAAGGCCCAGGGTCCCTCCTTGTTTGTAGTGGGTCCATCTGCCCGCTAGACTGAGCCCCTTGAGGGCAGGGCTGAGTCTTGTCTACTTTACAAATGACCATAGGTCCTGGAATCAGATAGACTCGGGTTTAAATCCTGTTGTGGCTCCTTATCACCTAGGATGCTACCAATCCAGCAAGTTCTAGTGAGTCTAATGCTTGTGTCAAGCTCTCAGCCCATCTTGCCACACACTAAGTGCTCAGTAAATAGCAGCAGTTCTTCTTATCATTGGCACAAGTACTATTGTTACTCTGGCCTCTCCCCTGGGGCCTGCTCCACACAGGGCCTGTGTTAGAGCCAAACCAAACTGGCTAAAGGTGGCTACTCCTGTTTCCCCAGGTCACAAAGGCTGGGTCTTTCTCTGTCTCTCCCTAGCTTTTCCAGAGTTGTAGGTTAAATGTAGGGGCTCAGGTTCCAGCCTCTGGGAAAGGAGACACCATGTCCAGGCTCTGTTTCCACCCATTGTTGTAGAGAGCATTGTCTTTCTTCCATGGCATCCTCCTCCCCACTCAGGTTCCTAAGCCCAGCTGCTGCAGCCCCTCTCACCCATGCCTGAGCAGAGGAGGGGCCCCTCCCTTGCTTGGAACCCCTTACCTAGTAGAGCTGTGAGAGACATTTGCTTTCTTGTCTCTCATTTCATCTTTTTTTAGCCTTGTGACAGTCCCGTGGGGCAGATAGAGCAGGGAGCATATCTCTCTTTTACAGAAGGGGAATCCAAAGCCCAAAGAGGTTCCTCAGCAAGGACTGTGGTGTAGGTCTCATGACTCCCAGGCCAGTGTGTCTCACTAAGCTGGCTCCGGCAGGCCCTGGGCAGAGTAAGACGGAGAGAAGAGGCTTTCTGGAAAGTCAAGAAGGTTCAGGGGGATTTGAAAGGGCTCTTTCCCAGGATATTCTGGAACCACTGGCAGGCAGATTCTTTCAGGGGGAAGCCAGGGAAGTTTACAACTTGTCCACTGGGTCTAGGGAGAAAGGTTAAAGCCAGGGTATGGCTCCAGGCTACCTTTGGGACTGGGCTGACCCAGGCCTCCGGGCCGTTCCTGAACAGGGAATGGGAGGGTGGCCTTCCTGCTTTGTGGGATGTGCACTGCTGACCATTGGTGGCCAGGGCTGAGGCCACTTTGCCCAGGGAGAAATGGAGGCAGGGGGTGTGGAGAGACTCCAACACGGGCCTTGCAGGGGTGGTGGGAGTCAGGCCCTATCACTGTATCCAGAGAGGGCTTAGGTCTAATCTATGCATGAATTCAGAACCCTGGCTTGGCCGCTTCCAGCTCTGTCACCTGGGGAAGGGTAGTTACCATCTGAGCCTAATTTCGTCTGTGGATGATTTCGGAGATTGAGTGGAAGGGGCATGGCTCGGGAAGCAGCTCAGTGCTGCTGCTGGGGCTGCCACCATCTTCCCACGGGGCTCCCAGGTGGGAAGTGCGGGATGGCCTGAGCATTGCAAGTCATTCTGCATCCTTGCTCCCCACCCCACTAAATGCCAGTAGGCTCCTCATTGCAACAACCAGAAACTTCCCTGTCTCCCCAGTGGGCGGGCAGCACTTTCCCCGGGCAGGAGCCTCTTCTCCCCATCGCGTGCCCTGCTCTCTGACCCTAGTCATGTGCTTCTTCCATAACTGCTTCTGCCCTGCCCCAGTCTCTCCACACTGACTCTGGCTACCCCATCCCTAAGCTCCCATACAAATCATCATGGGGTGTTGAGCCCAGGTTCCTGCCTCTGGGATATCTCAAGCCCGGCCTGGCATGCACTAGATGCTCGGAATGTGGCCCCTTGTTCAGGGCCAGCAGAGACAGACTCTCCCCCTGAGGCAGGCTGGGCGGAGTTGGGAAGAGGAACGACATGGTGATTAACTTTGAATGTCGTGCATACCTGTGGCTCAGGTGTCCAAGGCGCTGGGCATGGAAAAGGGTGGCAGTGCCCTTGGAAGGGGCATCAGGTTGCCCCCTGGCTGAACGCCTGGGCTGACATATCCCCTGGGAGTCTTGGGAGGAGGGAGTCAGATGCTGTGCCTGGTGGATTAGTGGGCAGAAGCCCAGGGAGGTAGGACTATGGGAAACTGGGCCAGGCTGCTGGCATCTTCTCCCAGCCAGCCCAGTGCCCTGACTGAGGAAATGGGGAGGGGAGGGAGCAGGCCGGGTGTGTAATGGGGCAAGCCTGAAGCATCTATGACAGCTGTCTCAGTGGGCAGCCATGATTCCACTCTCACCATAACCCTTCATTTTGTTCATCATTTCACAGAGACCTTCACACCCATCACCAACCCCATTTGACAAAGATGGTGGCAGGTTTAGAAACTGAGGTCATTGTACAGCCAGGAGGGGGAGAAGGTAAGGACAGAAACTTCCTTAGCTCTAGTGATTCACTTTAAATGAGTGATTCACCTGTCCTGCATAGCAGTGGGGACGTACCAGGGAGGTCGTGGCAACTGCGCCCTGAAGTGGTTGGGGAGGGTGTGGTGCTGGGCCGCGATGGTTGATGGCTGTGCCTAAGCCTGAGTGAGGAGCGAGGTTTTGCTCCCTGTGTCTCCAGCTCTGGGTCGATGGACACAGCCACATCGTGTGGCCTGGTTTCTGGAGGAGGGGGAGACAGCTGGTGCCAAGTGTCAGCCTGGTGGCTGCTCAGCCGAACGCCAGCAGCCAACCTCAAGAGGCACAGTCTGCTATGAGGCCCTTCCCAGCCCCCACAGAGCCAAGCGGGAGAGCCAACCCCAGGAGAGAGGGGGTACACTATTTGAGGGTCACTACATGGCTTCCAGTTTGTGCTAAGATGGTGACGGATGACTGCTGGCCCTCACTCCAAAGTCATCCCTGGAGAACCTACAGCAGCCAGAGGGGAATATAGATTCTGGAAGCAGCAAACACATAGACGAAAGAATGTGAGGAGGCGGAGGAGGCCGCAGGCTGCTCGAGCTGGTGTGTGTGTGTGAGGATAGGGCTCCCAGCCCGGCCAGGTACCGAGGGGAAGGGCAGGGAGAGGGAAGCGTTGTAAGTCCTCTCACTGCTCCTGGGCACCCCTGTGGGATGGTGTCGCCTGCTCCTTTGCTGATAAAATTGTGACAACAGCCCAGCTGGAGTGAGGATTGAGAAAAATCGTTGTCAATAGACCAGCAGCTCACGTCTTTTCTCATGGAACCCCCAGAGCTGTTTCTGAAAATCCAGACTGTCTTCTGTTCCCTATGCTTCCCCTCAAGGTCTGGAGATGGCGCCCTCACTCAGGTGGGGTGCTTGACAATGTTTCCCTGGTGACTGGGGCTCCTACCTCAGTGCCCGGGGCTGCCCTGCTCTTCAACCCCTGGGGACTGACACAGACTGGCCTTTGCGACGTCCCCAACACTCGCCTGCCTCGTTGGGCCCTCAGCTGGTGGCTCACATTCAGGTCTACAGCACCTGTGGGCTCTTTCTCCACAGGGAATAACAGGCCCAGACCCAGCAGGGCCGTCGAGGTGGGCGAGGCTGCTGTTCCCCGTGTCATTTGCACACGGGCCTCACCTGTGCAGAGGTTTCTGGGGGGAACATGGGGGAGGGAGTTCCTGCACACCCTCCTTACCACCTCCTTCAGGAAGCAGCTGAGAGGTGAGGGGCTCAGAGCAGGCCAGTGCCTGGGATTTGGGGCCAGTGTGTGCCCGCAAGAGGCAGCGAAGGGTGGCTGTTCCCCTCTGGGCTCAGGGCTGAGGGAGGGGGGAGTCTTGGGCCTCCTACCTCATCAAAGTCAGCCACATCCTCACAGTTCTCCAGGACCCGAGAGTAGAAGGATTGCCCTGTGGGGAAAGAGGAAATAAATTCTAGGGTCAGAGCTGTCCAGACGATGAGCATGGGGTCAGACCTCCTCATCCTGGGAGTCGTCCTAACAGCATTTGACTTTTCATGCAACATGGGACCTCGTGGCTTGCTCACCTCTCCCAGGGTGAGGCCAGTCCCCATGCGGCTTCTTCTCTGACCCTCTCAGCAGCCTCGTGAGGGAAGCGGGTCAAAGGCCATGAGTTCCATGTTAGGAACGGGAATGCTAAGGCACAGAAGGCCCAGGCTGGTCAGAGTGGCCGTGGAAGCGGACCTCAGGCACTCTTTTCCACCATGTTCTTCCTCCATGGATCTCTCAGCCTCCTCTGCAGCCTCCTCAGCTCTGCTGGTGGCTCCGGGCCCTGCTGCCCTGAGCAGAAGCCTAGTATAGGGGGCGTAGCCCCTGCCTGCCGACAGGGGTCTGTGAAGCCCAGCCTCCTTCTGCAGCCACCCCAGGGGTTCCTGCCCAAACCAGGCCCCCAACAACAAGTCAGCTTCCAGACAGCCATTCCCCGTGGGCCAAGGGCCTTCCCCTTCCACCACTGTCATGGTTGTCCGTCTTCCTGTCAGCCTTAGCAGAGAAGACAGTCTCTGGCAGTTCCCTCCCGGGCTCTATTCCTGCCCCCACTTTCCCCACTGGCATGGGAAGTAGAGAGTGTGTGAGATGGACACACATTGTCCCAGGCTCCCCCATCCATACGCCACCCACTAGGGCATGTTGGGAGCACAGAGGTAAAGCTGCCCTCTTTGCTAGTCCAGCTGGAACTGGCCCAAGATGTGGGGAGAAATAAGTCAGGAGAGAATCGAGGGCAGGTCGAGGGGGCTCCATCGTGTGGGAAACACCAGCTAGTTCAGTTCACTTTGAGAAACAGCCGCTGGAGTCTCTGATGTTCTAGGCCATGTCCCGGGGCCTCGGGATAGAGGATGGACCAATGACAAAGGCACAGGCTCCCACCCACAGGTAGCTGATGGTCTAGAAGGGAGGCCAGGAGCCAACAGGGCACCAGTGCAAGGGAAACACCATTTTTTTTTTTTTTTTGAGATGCAGTCTTGCTCTGTTCCCAGGCTGGATTGCAGTGGCACGATCTCGGCTCACTGCAACCTCCGCCTCCTGGGTTCAAGCGATTCTCCTGCCTCAGCCTCCTGAGTAACTGGGATTACAGGCGCCGCCACCATGCCCAGCTAATTTTTGTATTTTTAGTAGAGACGGGGTTTCACCATGTTGGCCAGGCTCGTCTGGAACTCTTGACCTCAAATGACCCGCCCACCTTGGTCTCCCAAAGTGCTGGGATTACAGGCATGAGTCACCGCGCCAGGCCTCCAGTACAACACCATTCAGTACATACTCCAAGGTACAATTTCGCACAAGAAACAGTAATGGTACAGAGAAGGGAGGATAAATACTGTTTTAGGGATGGGATGGAACCACAAGAGAAGGGGTTGTAATTTCTGTGAGGAGAAACCTAGAGACAGGATGGGTTAAAGAAAAATTTGTTGCTTAGAATTAATTTATTATCCTGTGTCAATTCCATGGTAAGGGAAAAAAGGCAGCATGTATATTAGAACTCCATTAATTAAAAAAAATACCAAAACCCAAACTATATGCATATATTTCTTCTATGAAGAGACAAACATCTCAAACCACTGAAAGTGGTTACCCCCCTGGGCGCAGTGGCTCACGCCTGTAATCCCAGCAATTTGGGAGGCCGAGGCGGGCGGATCACCTGAGGTCGGGAGTTCGAGACCTGCTTGACCAACATGGAGAAACCCCGTCTCTACTAAAAATACAAAAATAGCTGGGTGTGGTGGCACATGCCTGTAATCCCAGCTACTCAAGAGGCCGAGGCAGGAGAATCGCTTGAACCCAGGAGGCGGAGGTTGTGGTGGGCCGAGATTGCGCCATTGCACTCCAGCCTGGGCAACTAGTGAAACTCCATCTCAAAAAAGTTAAATAAATAAAATAAAAAAGAAAGTGGTTATCCCTGGGGAGGGAGAGTGAGAAGATATTGAAAGCAGCATACTTTGATGTGAGCCACTGCACCTGGCTGAAAGACAAACAAAACAAAACAAAACAAAATGAAATGTGAATTTGAATTTTTTTTCAGTGACCATGCTTGATTTTTGCAATTGAAAGACAAACACCCTTTTTGTTTGTCTTGAGACAGAGTCTTGCTCTGTCACCCAGGCTGGAGTGCAGTAGTGTAATCTTGGCTCACTGCAAACTCTGCCTCCGGGGTTCAAATGATTCTCGTGCCTCAGCCTCCCAAGTAGTTGGGATTACAGGCATGCGCCACTGTGCCTAGCTAATTTTTTTACTTTTAGTAGAGATGGGGTTTCGCATGTTGGTCAGGCTGGTCTCGAATTCCTGGCCTCAAGTGATCTCCCACCTCGGCCTCCCAAAGTGCTGGGATTATAGGTGTGAGTCACCGCGCCCAGCCGAAAGACGAATACCTTTAAATCTCCACCAGCATAAACCATTTCATTGAAGGGCTGTCTCCAGGTTGAAGCCATTCCTATTTGGGGGTGAGTTTGGGTTGTCACTGATGAAGCCCATGGCATGGGTGGAGCGGACTGTGCTCCTCTCCCTACAGAAAACCTGGGAGCCCGGGCTAGAGCGGCGTCAGGCCAAGGAGGTACTGGAGGGGTCAGAGCTCCTCTGAACCTTCCCTGTGATGGGTCTGGGGGCTGGGCAAGGAAGGGGGCTCAGCAAAGCAGGCTCGTTCCCTCCGGGAACTGACCTCTCTCCTCTGTCAGTGGTGGCCTCATCTGTTTAGTAAGAGCTCTCCAGGGTCCTAGCAACTTTTATGACCCAGGAGCTAGTCCTAGTTCAATGCAGAGCTCCCCTCTGACGAGGGCCGGGGGTGGCGGGGTCGTTGATGTCAGATCCACTGAAACAGAGAGTGTGGATGCAGTCTGAAAGGGTGTGTGTTCGTGTGTGTGTTTTGGGGCGGGGGCAGGTGGGGAAGGGCTGGCTGCATCTGAGATAAGGAGGAAAAAACCATAAAGCAGAAGCTATCTATACGGCAAAGAGATGTGAAGTAAACATGATGGGAAAGAAAGAATGTTTAGCACCAGCCAGAGA
This sequence comes from Homo sapiens, assembly GCF_000001405.40. Taxonomy (NCBI): domain Eukaryota; kingdom Metazoa; phylum Chordata; class Mammalia; order Primates; family Hominidae; genus Homo; species Homo sapiens. The sequence continues at coordinate 26,540,876 of NC_000002.12, forward strand.
CATAAAAAACAAAAAAATCAACAAGAAATATCTCAACAACAAGCCCCCGGGCAATCAAGGGAGGAGAGGGAAAGTGCCTGAGGTTTGAGCTTTTAATTTTCCCCGCAGGTAACACACAATATAAATTGAGAATCAGCTGAGCATGTTTGTGTATGGGGGCTTCCCCTAAAGACCTGCTGCTCTGAATAACCAAAGGCCTTTGCATCCTAGAAGATTTTAATAAGCCTCGGATATAGCTGTCCTCCGGGGTCTCTTGGAGTGAAAAATGCAGCAACCCAGCGGAGGATTGGGAGAAGGTGGGGAGGGGCCCTGCTCCAAGGTGGTGTCAGATTCACATCTGCAGGAAACACCGAGGATCAAACCCTCCCCTGCTTGTGCATTTTTCCATAGCTTTGTTAGAGAGGAAGTAAAATACGTGAAATCAGCCATTGCAGAATTTATACATCAGGGTTCTGTTTCAAAATGTGCTAAAACCTCATTGATTTAGGCCCTGGGGATTTAGAGATGGTGAATATTCTCAAACATGATGAGCTAAATTTACCTGTAGATATTCTTTTTTAAAAAAGGTTTGCTGAAACACATCAATCATACAGAAACAGTGGAAAGGCCAAATTATTAAGAAAACAAAATGTCCTTCAGCATTTTGGAAGAGCCGTTTCAGGAGGGTATGTACAAACAGTGGCTGGCAGTATTCAAGTGGTTCTGTTCTGTTCACTGGAGCAGAGGCAGGGGACCTCCATCATCTGTTCCAAGTGATCAGGGGGATGACTAACCCCATCTCTTGTTTCAAGTTCATTTCCACTTCACATCTACTCCATTCAGCGTCAGTCTTGTTGACATTCCAGCTTCATTTTAAATGGCTTTCAGATAAAACCATTACAAATCCCAATATCCAATCACCTTTCTTGCCACAGGGAAAATGGAGAATAAAGCTTGAAAGAAAATAGCCTCTTCCTTGCATGGAAAGGCTGTTGTGGATCGAGTGAGAAGGAGGTTCGATGGGGGAAATAGAACAGCATCCTCCTTCCTTCTGAGGCAGCTGCTCCTGGGATAGCTGAGCTGTTTGGTTTGAAATAAACTCCTCCCTGAGTCAATAGATGGAGTATGAATAACAGAGTCTGTGCTTAAAGTGTAACAAGTGCCATGGTATCAGATATACCCATTTCTCCTTTCACCATTTAAAAATACCCACACGACAGATCTTCTCCAAATGGAGACGAGCTCAGTGCTTGTTTCAGAAGCAGGATGCCATGCTGGCCTTTCATGGGACATGATTTAAGGGGACAAAATGTTCCATCTGCACAAAATAGCTCCCTCTTCCAGACAGCTTACCCTGCTAGGGCCACACCTCTGAGAAAAGGCAGGTGTGCAGGGACACGGCTGCCAGCCCATGTGTGTTCATTCATTTCCACAGGCAACCAGGGCTTTCTAGCTCCTGGCTTGTGTGCCATTTGGCCTTCACAGAGGGGAGTTGTACTAAGATCATTCGAATCTGAACGATGCCTTTAAGAGCGTATTACAATCCAGAGGGAGATATATCAGACATGGAAAATTCTGCCGATGATACAAGGCAGAATTTTGTCATTGGCATGCAAAAAGTGTAAATAAAGTGAGAACACAGGAAAAGGAGCAATGACTCTCAATGTAGTGGATTAAGGAGGCATTGCAGAGGCACACGCATTGACGCTAGAAGACCAGAAGAAATCTGGATATTCAGAGAGACTGGGAAGCAAGGAGAAGGAGGGAAATCCAGGCAGAGAGAACAGTGTAAGGAAATGTTTGAAAGCGTAGAGCAGAGAGTAGAGCCTCCAAGGAGCTGGACACAGGACAGGGGAGTCCCGATGGTGAAGGGAAAAGCAAGAATGGTCTGCCCTCAGGGAGCAGCCTGTGGAAGCAAGACTGGAGAGGGGCTGGGGTCCCGAAAGGGCAGAGGGTGAGGTGGTGGGCCATCCGAAGGGGAAGGAGAAGGTCCTGGGACTGTTTTCAAGGACGTCGTGATTTTGCCAGGGCCCAGCCCACTAGCCTATCTCCCAGCAGTGCCTGCCATTGCTATTGTCCCTGTGTGAGCTGAGAAATAGAGTAAAACTCTGCTGGTGACTCAGACCTGGGGCTGCTATTTCCTTGTGTTATTTAAAATCAGCAAAGCCTTGTTGTATGCACTGCCTGGGCTGGGCTGTACAAAGCTCAGCAAATAGTCCCATTCCCTCCCACAAAGCTCCCATGTCCTGGCGTCTCCTCTCCCTCTCTTCCTCTACAGCGACTCTCTGAGTGATGGTCCTGCTGTATTTTCTCTCTCCCCACTTCAGATCGATCTGTTCCTTTTGAAGGCCAGATACTCCCATGGAGCACCAGGAAGCAGGGCCCAAGCACCCCTGCGTGCAGGAAAAAGCCAGGCCCACTCAGGTGTGCGGCCCGGCACAACGGCCCATGGTCTGGAGGCCTGGGAGCTGGCCATCCAACCCCTTGGGGTCTCAGACTCACCATCTGTTAGCCGGGGGTCATTATCCTGGACCAGCCTGTGTCCTGGGACCATCACGAGGATGACAAGAAACTGTTGTGGGAAAGTCTAAGTAAAGCATCAAGTCCTTTACAAGCACGAGGGGGCATGGGATAGAGGTTAAGGCTCTTGGGCCAGAGTCCCTGAGTTCAAATCCCAGCTGCCTCTTCCTAGTTTGCGTGCCCTGGATGAAGCTAATTAACTTCTCTTTGCCCTTGTTTCCTCACCCTTAAAATGAAGGAAATAATAATGCTTACAATAGCATTTGGTGCAGTTTATCCCTCAATAAGAAACAGCTATTCTCAGTCTACTAAATAGTCTTGTTTCTCCTTCATTCTATTTTGTTTTGAATTTATTTTTTTGAGACGGAGTCTTGATCTGTCACCCAGGCTGGAGTGCAGTGGCGTAATCTCCGCTCACTGCAACCTCCACCTCCTGGGTTCAAGTGACTCTCCTGCATTAGCCTCCTAAGTAGCTGGAATTACAGGCGTGTGCCACCATGCCTGGCTAACTTTTTTTGTATTTTTAGAGAGACAGGGTTTCACCAGCATGTGGCCAAGCTGTTCTCAAATTCCTGACTTTAAGTGATCCTCCTGCCTTGGCCTCCCAAAATGCTAGGATTATAGGCGTGGGCCACTGCGCCCAGCTTGCTTGTCCTTTAGACCTTTAAGTTATGTGCTAAATATAAAAATGGCTTCTTCTATTATGAATCACATTTGTAGCTTATTTTTAGTAGCATGGAATCAGAAATAATTTTTTTCCTCATCTTATATAATATTTTTCAAGTTTTAGGTATTTTAGATGTGAGTCTCTCTTCTTTTTTTAAAACTAGGTGAAACTTACATTCATGGATCTTAAGTGTAAAATTCAATGAGTTTCAATAAATGCATTTCCCTGTATACCGCCACACAATCAAGACATAGAACATTTCCATTTGTTCCACATGTTCTCTCATGTCCCTTTCCAGTCGATTTCTAGTCCCTTAGTAACCAGTGCTCTGATTTCTAGCACCAAAGATCAGTTTGCCTGTTTTAAACTTCATATAAAAGGTATCCTACAGAATGTACTTTTTGTGTGTCTGGCTTCTTTTGGTCAAGGTAATGTTTTTGTGATTCATCCATGTTGTTGCATATATAAGTAATGTATTGATTTTTATTGTAGAGTAATAGCCCGTTGCATGCCTATACCACAACTTCTTGGTCCATTTCTCTGTTGATGATAAACTTTTGGGTGCTTCTAGGGTTGGGCTATATGAGCAAAGTTGCTGTAAACATTCATGTGAGTCTTTTTCTGAAAATATAATTTTATTTCTCTTGAGGAAATTCCTAAGAACAGAATGGTTATGTCACAGGATAGGTACCCTTAGCTTTATAAGAAATTGCTGGCCGGGCGCAATGGCTCATGCCTGTAATCCCAGCACTTTGGGAGGCTGAGGCAGGCAGATCATGAGGTCAGGAGATGGAGACCATCATGGCTAACACGGTGAAACCCTGTCTCTACTAAAAATACAAAAAAAAAATTAGCCAGGCGTGGTGGTGCGAACCTGTAGTCCCAGCTACTCGGGAGGCTGAAGCAGGAGAATCGCTTGAACCCGGGAGGCAAAGGTTGCATTGAACCAAGATCACACCACTGCACTCCAGCCTGGGTGACAGAACGAGATGCCATCCCAAAAAAAAAAAAAAAGAAAAGAAAAGAAAGAAATCGCCAAATAGTTTTCTAAGGGGATTGCATCATTTCACACTCTTATCAGCAATGTAAAAAAAATTTCAGTTGTTCCATCCTCATCAACATTTGATTACTGTCAGACTTTTACATTTTAGCTATTTTAGAGCATGTGAAATAATATCTCTTTGTAATTTTGATCTTCATTTCTCTAATGACTCAGGATGTTGATCACATTTTCACATGTTTATTGGCCATACGTCTATCTTATTCTATGGAGTGTCTCTTCAAGTCTTTTGCCTACATAAAAAATTTCATAATTTGTCTTATTATTATTGACTTATAGGGATTCTTTATATATTCTGGCTACAAGTCCTTTGTCAGATAAATGTGAATATTTTCTTCCTGTGTGTGACTTGCCTTCTCTTGCCTTCTTAAATGTGATTTTTTTATGAATAGGAGTTTTCAATTTTTTTTACTCTGTGACTAGCCAAAGAGAGTTTCCAATTTTTAAGAAATGCAAGTTTTTAGTGAAATTTATTTCTTATGTTTAGTCTTTTAAAATTTTTCTTTAAGAAACCTTTGCCTAACCCAAGAATACAAAAAAAGATGTTCTATATTTTCTTCTAGAAGCTTATAAGTTTTTAATGTTTAATTCTATAATCCATCTTACATTAATTTTTGTGGATGGTATGAGGTAGGAGTTTGAAGTTCATTTTTTCTCCATATAGATACCTAGTTCTAGATATCCAACACCTTGATTGAAAATCAATTGATTTTATATGTACAGAGTTTATTTCTGGACACTATTCTGCTCCATTGGTCTATATGTCTATTCTTAGACCAATGCCACACTTTCTTAATTCCTTTAACTTTATAGTTAGACTTATAATTAAATATAGTTGACCCTTGAACAACACAGGGATTAGAGGTACCAGCCCCTCATATAGTTGAAAAGCTGCATATAAATTTTGACTCCCCAAAAACTTAGCTACTAATAGACTACTGTTAACCAGAAGCCTTAATGATAACATAAACAGCCAATTAACACATATTTTGTATATGTATTATGTACTGTACTTTTACAATAAAGTAAGCTAGAGAAAAGAAAATGTTAGGAAAAAAGATAAGGAAGAGAAACCATGGCCAGGCGAAGTGGCTCATGCCTGTAATCCCAGCACTTTAGGAGGCCGAGGCTGGTGGATCACTTGAGGTCAGGAGTTCGAGACCAGCCTGACCAACATGGTGAAACCTCGTCTCTACTGAAAATACAAAAATTAGCTGGGAGTGATGGTGCATGCCTGTAATCCCAGCTACTCGGGAGGCTGAGAAAGGAGAATCGCTTGAACCCGGGAGGTGGAGGTTGCAGTGAGCTGAGATTGCTCCATTGCACTCCAGCCTGGGCAACAAGAGTGAAACTCTGTCTCAAAAAGAAAAAAAAAAAAAATCCACATATAAGTGGACCCATGTTGTTCAGGGGTCAGCTGTGGTGTGAACCCTCCAATTCTCTTCTCCATTTTCAAGGCTGCTTTAGCTATTCTAGATCATTTGCATGTCCACATAAATTTTAAAGTAGTTTTCAATTTCTACAAAATAGTTTGTTGTGATTTTTATTAGGATTGCATTCAGTCTATAGATCATTTTGTGGAGAATTGTCATCTTAACAATTATGAATCTTCAGTCCATAAACATAATCTATTTTCTACATGTTTGGTTTTTTTTTTTTTTTATTTCTCTCAGCATTTTGTGTTGTTTTGTTTTTAGGGTGGAAGTCTTTCCTGTCTTTGGTAAAATTTATTTTCTTGTGTATTAATCATATATCCTGAAAACTTGCTAAATTCATTCATTAATTGTAGTAGCTTTTTAATAGATTCCTTAGGATTTTCTACATAACCAATCAGGTTTTCTGTGAATAAAGATAGTTTTACTTCTTCCTTTCCAATCTGTAGGAGTTGTTTTTACCTTGCCACCTTGTACTGGCTAGAATTCTAGCACAGTGTTGAACAGAAGTGGTGAGAGTAGAAAACTTTGCCTGACTCATGATCTTAATGTTCAATATTTCTGAATTAAGTATAATGTTAGCTGGATGATTTTTATCAGATTGAGGAAGCTCCTTTTATTGGTAGTTTGCTGATAGTTATTATCATGAATGGGTGTTGAATTTTGTCAAATGCATTTTCTGCATCTATTGATATAATCATGAATTTTTTCCTTTACTGTGTTAATATGGTAAAATATTTTGATTTTCTACTTTTAAATTAACATTGCATTCCTGGGATAATACTCACTTGTCATGATGTGTTATTCTTTTCATATATTGCTATTCAGTTGGCTAATATTTTGTTAAGGATTTTTACATCTGTGTTCATGAGAGATATTGGGCTGTAATTTTCTTTTTGTGTAAGGTCTTTGTCAGGTTTTGATAATAAAAAATGAATTGAGATGTGCTCTTCCTTCTCTATTTTCTGAAAGAGTTTGTGTAAGATTGTTATTACGTTTTCCTTTCAATGTTTTCTACAGGCCGGGTGTGGTGGCTTACACCTGTAATCCCAGCACTTTGAGAGGCCGATATGGGCAGATCACTTGAGGTCAGGAGTTCAAGACCAGCCTGGCCAACATGGTGAAACCCTGTCTCTACTAAAAATACAAAAATTAGCCGGGCGTGGTGGCACCTGCGTGTAGTCTCAGCTGCTCTACTCGGGAGGCTGAGGCAGGAGAATCACTTGAACTGGGGAGACAGAGGTTGCAGTGAGCTGAGATCGCGCCACTGCACTCCAGCCTGGGTGACAGTGCGAGACTCCATCTCAAAAAAAGAAAAAAAGAATGTTTTCTACAATACAGCAGTGAAATCATCTAGATCTGAAGTTTTCTTTGTGGAAGGAAGTTTATTGTCATCATCATCATTGTTATTACAAATTCAATTTCTTTAATAGATATGGAGGCTCTTTGGATTTTCCATTTCTTTTTCTGTCAGTTTTGGTAAGTTGTTTTTCAAAAGATTTATTCATTTCATCTGAGTTGTAGAATTTATTGAGGTAAGTTATTGGTAATATTCCCATATTTTCCTTTAAATGTAATGATATTCCCTCTTTTATTCCTGATATTGGTAATTTGTGTTTTCTTGCTTTTTATTTTTGATAAGTCTTGCTAGGGTTTATCTATTTTATTAATTTTTTTTGAAGAACCAACTTTTGGCTTTGTTAAATTTCTCTGTTGTCTATTTTCTATTTCCTTCCTTTTATACTGTCCTTGGGTTTAATTTGGTGGGGGGTGTTTGATTTTTATTTATTGAAATATAATTCACATTCCATAACATTCATCCTTCTAAAGTGCACAGTTCAGTCGTTTTTAGTATATTCCCAAGGTTGTACACCCATCACCACTACCTAATTCCAGAATATTTTCATCACCCTGGAAGGAGACTCCATACCCGTGAGCAGTCACTCCCCATTCTCCCTCCCCACAGCCCTTGACAACCACAAATCTCCTCTCTGTATGGATTTGCCTGTTCTGAGCATTTCGTATACATTCATGCACCACATAACACCGTTTTGGTCAACGACCACTTGGATATACAACAGTGGTCCCATAAGATTATAATATTGTATTTACTGTATCTTTTCTATGTTTAGATACACAAATACTTACCATTGTACTATGATTGCCTACAGCATTGAATACAGTTACGTTCTGTACACGTTTGTGGCCTAGGAGCAGTAGGTCATACCATGTAGCCTAGGTGTGTAGTTGGCTATACCATCTAGCTTTGTGTAAGTACACTCTATGATGTTCACACAATGACACAATCGCTTAATGATGCATTTTTCAGAATGTACTCCTATCACTAAGCGATGCCTGACTGTAAATGAGGTTATACAGTATGTGGTCTTTTGTGTCTGGCTTCTTTTATTTAACATAATGTTTTCAAGATTTGGGTTTAATTTGCTTTTCTTTTGGTATCTTTTTAAGGCAGAAACCTAGATTACAATTTTACACTTTTCTTCTTTTCTGCTGTAAGTACTTAAAATGATAAATGTTAATATGTTGTATTTTCATTATAATTCAGTTAAAAATGTTTCATAATTTCTCTTTTACTTCCTTCTTTGACCATAGGTTAAGAAAGGCATTAATTTCCAAATATTTGGAACTTTCAAAGATAATCTTCTTATTATTGATTTTTAGCTGAATTCCACTATGGTCAGAGAACATACTCTGTAAGATTTCAGTCTTTTGAAATGTATTGAGACTTGTCTAATTGCCCATATCTCTTGTAATAACAATTTTTTTCCCCATGAGAAACACATCTTCAATTTTATAATGACAGTTGATGGCATGGTAGAAGAAAGAAATTCACTTCAAAGAGTTGTCCAAGAAAGCAGCTGTTCCTCATGTTTCTTACATAGTATACTCTCTGAAAATCACCAATGACTCACAGAGCCAGACTTGGGATACTGCAGAGTCCCTGGGCCTCCCACTGGAAAAGGTTACCCCTTCCATTTTCCCCATTTCTCAGCTAAATGGAGGCCCCATGGAACTCTAACCCTTTATTATCCACAAATTGTACTAAAATATCATTTCTACCTCCACTCATGTATTTCCCCTTAACCCACCCTGCTAACATCCAGGTTTACACTATGGAAACTTAGGCTTGGGTCAGGGATTCATCTGAGAGGCAGGGGCAGGGCAGGGATGATAAATCCCATCTCTCTGGCTCAGCTCAAACCCTTCTTCCAGGTCCTCACTCAAACTCTGACTTTGCCCTGCAACCGACTGAAAGCGCTGGTTCCCATTTTTCAGACCCTGGCACTGAGGCAGGAAGGGCCTGTGGTATTTGTCTTTGAGCCTTGGACAGTGCCACCCACACAGTCATCAACTGCTGGGTCCTAGATTCCCCTGTTACGGTGACAGAGGAGCTTGTGGTCCCAGTGATCCACAAGTGTGTAGAGTACCCATTCTGTGCCAGGCACTGGGAATACAATGAGGTATAATGGGAGGGTGACTCTTTTACTCTCCGATAGGGTAAAAATATTGTGGAAACTGCAGTCCTGACTTTACCTTAAACTTCGGCTGAAAAAAAAAAAAGCCAGTGGGTGAAAACTCGTCTCCACCTCAGCAGATTAGCCCTTCTGCTTTGAAGTAAAAGAAAATAAAATAGAAACGAGGACTGTTGAGGCAGCGTCTAGCAGGTGGATCAGTTCAGACAGAAAGCGGTCAAGCGGTCTAGGGTAAAAATGATCACATGATAGTCCCTGTCTCCGGAGCCTTTTCTAGAACTGTCACCGAGAGAAATGGATCACTGTCTGGTGCTGCCTGGATGGCTGGCTGCAGGGGGGCCCCTGTTGCTAACTGATCACTGCTCCTGCACCCACAGGCGGTGTTCCTTGCTCCCACTTCTATGCCAGGTCTGTTCTGTGCCAGGCTCCATGCTGCTGCTGGGAAAGCAGCCAAGGGGCCTGGCCCTCAAGGCGCCCACCTGGATGGCAGTGGCTCCAGGTGTTTCCACCCTGATGTCTCCATGTTTGCCAGAATTCAGGGTGTCAGCAACTGGCACCTGTCTAGATGAGAATCAACTAAGGCCCTGTACCCCAAATCCCTGGGTCCGCGGTGGTCCCCAGGACCACAATTGACTCTTGCCCTGCCCTGTCACTCACTCCCCTGATCCCAGCGCCGCTCCTTCCTCTCTCATGGCGCCTGCTGAGGCACTCAGCCCTCCGCCTGCCCCGGGCTTCCTCCCCAGTGTCCCTGCCCGCAGTCCTCACCTCTAGAGCCTTCTCTCCAAAACAAGATCTTAGCATCCCATTCTCCTGCTAAGAGTGTGACACCAAAGACCCTCCGTGTTTGGCTGCGTCCCCCGTGCCCTGCCTTCCGGTCTCCCCTCCACACTCCCCTGATGCATCTCCACACCACCACGTCTGCACTAGTGTTAGCCCCTCTGCCTGGGATGGAGCCTTTCATGGCTTTTTTCCCCCCCTTGAGACAGAGTCTCGCTCTGTCGCCCAGGCTGGAGTGCAGTGGCACAATCTCGGCTCACTGCAGCCTCTGCCTCCTGGGTTCAAGCGATTCTCCTGCCTCAGCCTCCCGAGTAGCTGGGATTATAGGCGTGCACCACCACGCCCGGCTAATTTTTGTGTTTTTAGTAGAGATGTGGTTTCACCATGTTGGCCAGGCTGGTCTCAAACTCCTGCCCTCAAATGATCCCCCCCGCCTTGGCCTCCCAAAGTGCTGGGATTACAGGCGTGAGCCACCATGCCCAGCCCTTTCATGGCCTTTGTTCCTGCCAATGAGCTGCGACCCTTCAAGGGCTTCTTAAATACCGCCCATTCCTCCTGCTCAATAAAAACTCCTGACTCACTTCCGGGCTCTAGGGGCCAACTAGGAGCCTGCTCCTCCCTCCCTTCCCATCTGCCCTTCCTCCTTCCTCAGTCTTCCCCTAACTGACTCTGGCTCACGCACTGGGGTGGCTTCCCCCCATCCTGGGCTAAGTGGGTTTCCTCACCATGAGCTGCCTGGGCACCTGTGCCTCCCTTCCATAAAGCTCCTCATGATGATGGGTGCAGTGGTCATCTTCCCCCTTTGAGGACAGGAACCACATCTGTCTCATTCCCCACCATCCCCCAGTGCGTGGCACATGGCTGCCCTTCAACAGAACGAGTGGATAAATGATTAAATACCTGATTTACAAAACACATTAAAATGAAGCTTTTAATAAATTGGAAAAAAATTATGACATTGATGAGACAATTAGGAATTTGATGACTGCCTGATTAGTTTATAGTACTAAGGAATTGTTATTAATTTCTTTAAAATGACAAAGTATGTGGTATTTATTTGAGCTCTTATCTTTTATAACTGTGTACTGAATATTTACAGATGGAATGGTATGGGGTTTGGGATCTTCTTCAAAATAATTTGGGGTGAGGAAGTAGGATGGGATGCAAATGAAGCAAGATTGGCCATGAATTGATGGTAGCTGAAATTGGATGGTACAACATAGGGCCATGATACTGTTCTCCCCACTCTTGTATGTATTTGAGAGTTTTTTTATATATAAAAAGTTAAAAAAAAAAAAAAAAGGCCAGGCACAGTGGCTTACGCCTATAATCCCAGCACTTTGGGAGGCTGAGCCAGGCAGCTCACATGAGCCCGGGAGTTCAAGACCAGCCTGGGCAATATGGTGAAACCCCATCTCTACTAAAAATACAAAAATTAGCTGAGCATGGTGGTGCGTGCCTGTAGTCCTAGCTACTCGGGAGGCTGAGGTGGGAGCATCGCTTGAACCCAGGAGGTTGAGGTTGCAGTGAACTATGATTGTGCCACTGCACTCCAGCGTGGGCGACAGAAAAAAGAAAAAAATGAGACCCAGGGATGGGAGTGGGTGCGAGAGATGTGGCTTTCACATGATCGGTAAAAGTGGCTAAGATAACCAAGACTTCCCAATTCAGAGAAATGATTTGCAAGTCTGTTCTCAAGCACATTTCCAGCAGCATATTCCTGAGGGCTTTTGCAGGGGAAGGCAGTTTTACAATCATTTCCATTACATGAAAATACACTTCCTATCAAAGCAGAAGTCTGGGGAATTTTCTGTGTGCTCTGTCTGCCCTTCGCTGGTGTGCAATGGCTTGCTCTGGGGGAGGGAGGAGGGGAGAACATTCACTACGTGGGGCATTAGGCAGAGAAGATTTCCCTCAGGTGTGGTGAGGGGGACTGAGTGTGCTGTGAAGAATGGAGGATGCAGGGGGCATATCCGTTAGGACTAAAACAAAAGCGCAGGGCTGTGTCCACAGCCAGCCACCGGCTGCCAAGGTCGTCGTAAGGGTCCCCTCTATTGCTGCCTTCAGCAGGGACAATGCCAACCTCACATTCTCCAAGAGAGGGGGTGCTAGGCTGGACCACAGCCCACAGACAGGCCTAGGCATTGCAGGAGCATTTCAGGGGTGGGTGCACTGGGTATTCTGCCTCCTTTACCAGGGGCGGCAGATAAGTTTCCAAATAGTAGCTATATTTATCATCAAGAGGGAGGGCTCCCTCATTTTACTGGGGAAAATAAATGTAATGTGGAGTCAGAGGTGGAGCCTGCAGCCAACAGTAGGGGGACATCTTGTCCCCAGTGCCTCAGCTGCAACCCTTCCCTGCACAATCACTCAGCAGGCCCACTGCTCCCTCCCTAGCTGGTCTCCCTCTTCTACTTCCTATAGCCTCTGCTCCAGCTACATGGTGTGGCTTCCCCGACATGGAACTTGGCTGCAATTCTCCTCCTCTGGCCTCTGGTCTGGTCGGTCCCTCACCCAAAAAGACTTCACCTTCCTCCATCACCAATTCCTCACTTCCTGCATCTCCATAGGTACAAACAGGGGCAGTTTTTCAAGACCCAGCTTAGGCACTTCCTCCTCCTGCTCCTTTTCCCTCGTCTCTGTAGCTCTAAGTAAGCTGTCATCCTCTGAACATTGTTGCTATTTACCCCCACCGCTGGCCCTCCTGTATGCTGCACTCATTTCACCTCTGTGTGTATGTTTCTTCTCCTCTGTCAGATGGTGAGATCCTGCCCCACGTGTGGTCGCAGTAAGGCTCGGAAAGAGGCATGAGCCACCACGCCTGGCCCTTTCATGGCCTTTGATCCTGCCAATGAACTAAGACCCTTCGGTGGCTTCTTAAATACCGCCCATTTCCCCTGCTCAATAAAAACTCCCGCCTCCCTTCTGAGCTCCGGGGGCCAACTCAGAGCCTGCTCCCACCTCCTTTCCCGTCTGCCCTTTCTCCTTCCTCTGTCTTCCCCTAACTGACTCTGGCTTACACACGCAATCCCTCTTGCTTCCCACCTATGGGCTGGAGCTGAACTTGCTAATATTTGTTAGGCTTGACTGGGCGCAGTGGCTCACACCTGTAATCCCAGCACTTTGGGAGGCCGAGGCAGGCGGATCATGAGGTCAGGAGTTTGAGACCAGCCTGGGAAATATGGTGAAACACCGTCTCTACTAAAAATACAAAAATTAGTCGGGCATGGTGGCGTGTGCCTGTAGTCCCAGCTACTCCAGAGGCTGAGGCAGAAGAATCGCTTGAACCCAGGAGCTGGAGGTTGCAGTGAGCCGAGATCGCACTGCACTGCACTCCAGCCTGGCGACAGAGCGAGACTCAAAAAAAAAAAAAAAAAAAAAAATCGTTAGGCCCCTCTGGAGCCCTAGAAGATTCTCTGGGTTAGGGAAGTTGATGGAAGGAGTAAGAGCCAAGGTTCTTGGTTCTTGGCCCTTGAGGCCTCTTCCAGTCCCTTGATCCTCCTTGGATAGAAAGTTCTGGGGTGAGAGCTCACAGTTGGGGAAATGGAGCCAAAGAGTGACAGTGCCACAGTGGAAGAACTCAAACCCATGACACAGTGAATCCCTCAAAGACAGAAACCATGTCTGATGTCTGTCCTGAAGATGCTCAAAAGCTTGGGCAGCATGCAGAGGTGTGGCCAGTTTCTGAAATGCAATGTACCTTGGCAGAGCAGTAGGAAGAATGTGTGCAAAGTACTGCTAGAGGAGTACTTTGTGTGCAAAGTACTACTCCTTCATGGAGGAGGTAGCATATGAGCTGGGCCTTGAAGGATGAGCAGAATTAATGGGCGTTCTCAAGGTGGAGGGTGGTCATTCCAGGCAGAAGAAATATGATCGATGTCTCAAAGTTTGGAGGTGTAAAAGGGTGTGGTATCTTTTGGGAATGGCTGGAAGTTGAATGTAGTGGGAACATAGCAGGGTGGGAATCAGGGGGAGGGTGGGAAGAAGAGTAAGAATGAAAAGGTGGAGGGGGATGCCCTGCAAACCTTTGTGCCAATTTCCAGCCACAGTGAATTATGTGGAAGCCAGATCCAGCCTTTAGATGTTCTTATCTCACACAGAAAATCCCCAAACCTCATGTCTTGGCAAGAAGGCTCAGGGGATAGAAAGAGAAGGGAGACATCAGGGTTGGCCCTGGACTGTCTGTCACTTGGTTCCCTTACAGTCCAGGTCCCCCAGCCTTGGTGCTCAGCACTGGACAGAAGGTTGGACTAGAAGAACTTCGGGACCCTTCACACCCTGCGTTCTGTGGCTCTGTGATTGATGTAGGGAACTATCTCAGGAGTTGATAAAGGAAATACCTGAAGCTAATACTTCCTCTCTTTGAGTAGCAACCTGTGGTCAAGATGGCTCCTTCTTAGATAGCCCACTCTTGATTACTCCTGGGAACTGCAGGCCTCTGAGCTAAATGAGGACCACTGTCTCCATTTTGTTAATGAGAAACCCAGCTGAGCCCTGTGGCCTGCAGGCACAATAGAGATTCGCCCAGGACTCCCTATCTCCTGTCTGACCCAATGGGATTGTGACTCCTGGAGGGCCAGGCTGGCCCCTTCACCTCAGGGTCCCAGGCCTGTGCACAAATATTAGCATGTTCAGGAAATGCATGAACAGGGCAGCACCAGCTTAGGAGCAGCCAGGGGCAGTAAGAACTAAGAGCTAGATACAGAACTGGCTGGGAGCACTGACCGAGGGGCCGACTGGCCTGAGGGCAGTGGGAAAAGAGGTGGCCACGGGCAAAGCTGGTGCACACCCAGCCAGATGAGAACAGGAGTCTCGGGGGTCTGCCTGCCTGGGTTCCTGCGGAACATCTCAGCAGAGGCTCCTACAGAGCAGAGTCCAGGCTCTCTGCCTTCTCCTGGCAGACTGGAACCCCTTAGACGTGCTCTCCTCTTCCCTTTATATCTCACATGGGGCCCTCTGCTGGTCTGGAGAGAAGATACCTCAGGGGCCAGCAGCTGCTCCCAAGGAGAATGGGAATGGCTGCCTCACAAACACATCGACCATTTGAATACTCTTCCCACAAACTCTTCCATACCTATGGTTTCCCTGAAGCAATCTAGTGAAGTGAGTGTTATTATCATGCCCATTTTACAGATGAGGAAACTGAGGGTGAGTGGCAGAACCCAGGTAGGATCTAGGGCTTCTGACTCCATATCCAGAACTTTTTCCACAATAGCCCAGGAGGGCTCTTTCCTTAGTGTCTTGGATGGCACAGCACAGAAGGTCAAGCCATATTTCAACCAGCTGCTCTGGCCTACCTAGGGCCACTGCCAATGGGCACAGCTCACCAAGGGCTCCCTCACCACCTCCCCCGGCATTGACTTTCACTCAAAAGCCTTGGGGAGCCTGGGGCCAGTGTCTCCCTCTGCGTGTTTACCAGTTTCTTGTTTCCCCCTGCAGAGGACTTGCTTGGCCCCCAGTGGTTGCATGTGCTGGGAGATGCTAAGGAACATTGTAGAGCGGGTCCATTCCCTCTGAATTGTGGTCAGTGTTGGTCTTTTGGGGCGCCTACAACTGTGAACTGCTAGATGACACAGGTGAGCGGCTGAGGCATCTTTCGTTGTAATAAAGGTACTTTCTGGAAACTGCTTGTCATCTGCCTATTCCTGCTGCCCAGCCCCCTTCCCCAGGAGCTCTGCCCATGGCCACCTCCTGCCAATGTGGAGCTTGGAAGCGATTTCTCCACTCAGTCCAGAGAGCAAGGGTTGCAAATAAACTAATTCCTGTGTGGTCAGTGAGGCTAAAGGCCCAGCCCTTCACTGCTCCAAGGAGAAGATGGGTGTCAGACAAGGTGCTGGCCCCCAGGTGGCCCAGGAGCAGATAAAGAGCTTGCAAGATTGAGTACTCAGGATGAGGTCCTGAGAGCTGGGACCACCGTGCCTCAGCTCCTCCGTGAATGCCACGCGCAGTGTTCTACCCCTGAACCTTGGTTTCTCGGCCTGCAAGTGGGCCTGTCCGGTGCAGCCTGGACCGTTCCAGCACAGCTGCAGCAGGATGGCAACCTGTAGCTTAACCGCCCCACACTATGCTGCCCGTGGAGCTCAGGGCCACATTTCACAGATGAAAGGACACATTTGCTTTTTCTAAAGCCAGCATGAGCCTGCAGGTGGCACACAGAGGGAGATCCAGGGTGCTGCAGAGAAAGCAGTCAGTGGGTTGGGGTGGGAGGCAAAAGGCAGCCCAGCCCACACCTCCCTCTCCCTCCTGCCTAACCTCCGCCTGCCGGCAGGGCCACTGCCATCACCTCCACCCCTGCCTGTCCCTATGAACACAAGCTGCAATGTGGGCATCCCAGGGCCTCTGGGTAGGTGATGTGGGTGCCCCAGGGCTCTTGCTGGAATGTTCTGCCAATGGTCTCTCCCATCCCTTCCAACAGAGGTGCAGACACTGTGTCCAGCCTGGGCCCCAAGGCTCACTTTGCTCTTTAGTATAGGGGGGTCCTCTCTGCCCCCTTCTCACCACCTCGTCCCCATCCCACTCTCAGACCCCTCTCTCGGGAGAAGGGGCCATGTCTAGTGAGAAGTACCCCCAACCCTCAGGGCTGGGCAGCAACCACATGGAGAGGCAGAGGTGGGTGGTGAAGGACAGAGTCAGCCTGGCCCTGCCTTTCCCCACTTAAAATGCTCAGGGGCTCCGCTGTCCCCGGGGTCAGGTCCAGCCTCGCCTCCTTGCCCTGCTTGGCTCTCTGGCCTCCGCTCCTGCACCCTCTCTGAGCTGTAGACACATGGAACCTCTTTCAGTTCCAGAGTTTCAGCTCCTCTCTCAGCTCTGGGCACACTGTTTCCTCTGCCTCCTCAGTCCTTACCTCCTCTCCTAGCTCCCACCCGCTGGTCCTTCGGGTATTAGCTGAGTGTTACTTCCTCCGGGAAGCCTTCCCTGACCACCGGTCACCAGCCTGGGTGAGGGTGCTGCTTCTGTAGCTTGCATGCTGCACCCCCACCTTCTGTCTCACATACCTGTCCTGCTTGTTCCACGCCTGCCCAACAGATGCAGGCTCCTTGGGGCTGGGGCTGGGTTGTGCTCAGCTCTGTGTTTCTACCCCTATCCTTGGGACACAGTAGATCATAATAAATGGTCGCTGAATACAGGAGTGAAAAGGATGAGAAAAGACCAGACAGAAGAGAGGCGAGGGGCTCCCGGGGTTCCCGCCCATGAATAGATCTAAAAGAAGCCAACAGTGTCCCCCATCACTCTGGGGCCCAGGGAGCTACTGGCTGCCTGGTTTCTCCCAGTCACCCTGGGTGCCCCAGGCTCCATACCCGGCCCCCACCCTGTGCTCAAGGAAATCAACCTGCAGGAGAGGGAGAGAGAGAGAAGGAGGGGGTCCTGGGTCTCCCTGAGCTCAGGGATGTGGTCCTCACTTCTGCCTCCCCAGGCAGAGGGCTCTGTGCCCTGCCCGGGGAACTGGCATGTTGGCAAGCACAAGGAGACACAGGCATGGAAGAACAGGGGACCCTGATTTTCCAGAAATCACAATGGCCAGTCAGTCCCAGGCAGATGACTACCTGTGAAAAGGCTCGTCGCCCCAGCCCCTGCTAGAACTTTTCCCACCCATCCTCCCAGCCCTGTCCTATCCCCGGCCACCTCCAGAGCATGGGCTGGTCCAGCTCTCAGAGCTGGCGTCCCTCTGAGACAGCGGCTTCCCTACCTCGGAAAGTCACTTTGGCGATCCGGTCGCCCCTGCCCCGCAGCTCCGAGACTGTCTTGAGGTGGATGAGCAAGGCCATGCTGGTGTGGGCTGCCTGGCACTGCCAGGCAGGAGCAGCGGGAAGGAGCTAGCCGGTGGAGCACGGCTCACACGCCTCTCTCTTCTCTGCCGCTGCCTCCTCCTCCTCCTCCCGACCCCCCTCCGATGCTGCCCACAGAGACCAAGGCAACCAAGCCGAGCTAAGCTGCTCCTGCAGCGACTCACAGAGCCTCACAGCCCCCGCCCCTCCAAGTTGTCAGCCCAGCGTGTGTGTATCGGTGTGTGCGTGTGTGTGTGTGTGTGTGTGCACCCAATGTGCAGCCTGGGAGTGCGGCAGAGTTGGAATTCATTATTCAGCAGCCGCCGGCTCCCAGATAAAGCTCTGTCCAGCTTCAGGTGTCTTCTCCCAGCTCCTGGAAGGGAGGCTCTGCCCACCCCTCTGCAGGGCTCTGCTGCTTCCCTGCTAAGCAAGCCCTGCCACCAGTAGTGGGCACAGAGGAGTGGGCATGAGCATAGGTAGGGTGGATGTGGGGCGGGGGGCACTCCCACCCACAGGGGCACACTACAAGAAGAAGGGAATGTATTTGTCCACCTACGCCCACCTCTTCCCTGCTGGAGACTGTGCCCCCAAGAGGCTGGGCCCTGAGCCCTGCCCTGGGATCCCTGTTTCTGAATCTCAGGAAGCAGAGAGGCTGGGGCTGCTGCCTGAGGGGAGGCTCAGGACCAGGCCATGCATGATGGAGATGGCTGGTTGTGGAGGCAGCAGAGGCTTATGTGCTACCAGGGGCCATGTTTAAGGATCCAGGGCACTAACCTAGCCCCACCCCAAGGCTGGGGGTCAGGCAGGCTAGCGAAGGTAAGCCAGGCTGATGTTTGCTTTCCAGCCAGAGGAGCAGAATTGAATGGCCTTCTGCTGTTATAAGCTGCTAGGGGCAGGAGAAGGGATGTCTATAGGGAAATTTCTAAGGACCAAAAGAGAACTGCCCCCTCCTGTCTTCCAGCAGCATACACCAAGGAAAGGGACGCTGGGGGCCAGAATCCCTGATGCTGGAATCTGTGCAGGGTCATCTGCAGCCTTGTTCTTGCTATTCATTCTTGGTGGAATGCCCTCCACCCCACCCTGGACTCAGCTTGAGTGCCTGCTCCTGGAGGTGCCTCTGTACCCGCACCCCAGCTGGGTTGGGGTCCTCCTCTGTGCTGCTCCTGCCTCCTCTCATCTTACTGAGTCCTGGGGCTGCTTCCCTTGCCTTTTCCCCTCCTGACCTCAGGAGGGCCCTGGAGCACAGCATCCCTCTACCCCAGAGCCCCACATGGTATCCTGTGCACCGTAGGATGCCCAATTACTGTTGAAAGGATAAAAGAGTGAGCTCAGGGATCTACCTGAAACAGAGTCTAAAGGTTAAAAAGAGAAATACTAATTTTTCACAGCATGGTAACAAGAGGTTACTTCTTTTGAATTCTGCATTCCAAATAACCTACAGTATGTCCCAAGAGCCTTCTTTCCTCCTTCTAGATATTTCCTTGCTACTGTGCCCTATTTTTCTTTTTCTACTTACGTTTTTTTCCTTTGCACTTTTTCCTAACCAATTCTTGCTTACCTTTCTCACATTTATCTAATCATATTGAATTTAAAAATGTCTTAGAGTATTCTGTTTATTGAATACAAGTATGAATGCTAAATTTTCAAAAGCTAGATAAGTTTAATGTCTTAAAAAAAAAAACACCTAAATTCACTAGCATTTTCCATCCATGAGGTCATCAGGTGATCTGTGTTTTTAAGGCTTGGTGACTACAAGGTACAACAACAACAACAGAAAATATCTTCTTCCTTGGTTCTCTGGAGGTCCTCCCCTGAAAGGAGTGAATTTCATGAGGCCTCTTATAGACCCTGTGCATCTTTAGGAAAAAGCCCATGATCCTGCCCTAGCCAAGGCATTGATCTATGCTGAATCTCACTTTCCACATCCATAAAATGGTAGCAATTCCACTCAGCAGCTCTCAATGGAGTCAGCTGGCCTTTCTGAAAACCTAAGAGACAGATCCCACTCTTTTTTTTTTTTTTTTTTTGAGAGAGAGTCTCACTCTGTCACCCAGGCTGGAGGGCAGTGGAGTGATCTAGGCTCACTGCAACCTCTGCCTCCCGGGTTCAAGCGATTCTCCTGCCTCAGCCTCCCAAATAGGTCAGACTATAAGCATGTGCTACCATGCCCAGCTAATGTTTGTATTTTTAGTAGAGATGGGGTTTCACCATGTTGGCTAGGCTGGTCTCAAACTGCTGACCTCAAGTGATCCGCCTGCCTCGGCCTTCCAAAATGCTGGGATTACAGGCATGAGCCACCGTTCCCAGCCAGAACCCACTTTTTAATTTCCATTCTTCTGTTACCCATTTTGGTAACTGAGTATATAATTTATGTAATGAACATTTACTGAATTCTTTCCAGAGCCAGGTGCTGAGATTCAGGGATGAATATGATATGGATGGCACAGGATCCCAATCAGACGAGACAGATGGACTAGAACACAGGCAGGTGGAAGGCAGGGTGGTGGGTTTACCAGCAGGACTGGCTGGGCAGCCCTGAATGGGGGAGGAAGTAGGCGGTCAACCTCACCAGGGCTGGGGGTCTTTGACTCATGTTTTCCTTATTGTAGAACATGTTCCCCAATGAGAATTTAGAAAAATACAGACATGACTGCATTCTGAAGGATGGATGGATTTTCCTTCCACCCAGTTTGTTTGCAGCCGTTCCTTTGCCTACAGCTCTCTTTCCAACCAGGCCTCAGTGTTTCTGCTTCCTGAGCCTCTGGGAAGCCTGTGGCTCCCCTTCATTTCATTGGCATTTGCCAGGGGAAGTCTTTGGAGAATGCTGGTGGCAGCCACATTCTGTGAACCCAGTAGCGTCTGCGGTCTTCATCCACTGCCATTTACAGAACCGAAGTGCGAGGGGAGCACTGCTCTCCATCCGGCATCTGAAGGGAAGAAGCAAGACCTGGAGACAAAGTGGGAACTGCCAGGCTTCTTCATGACACCAGGACTGCTGCAGAGGGAGCTGGGGTGGCAGGGCCTCCACCCGAGTCACCAAGAGCCTGGCACCGTGGAAGCTGTCCCCATACCCTCACCCCTTATGGAAAAGCCGAAGGCCCTGTGCCTGCCCTAGGCACCAAGGCTGGTGTAAGGGTCCCTGGAGAAACTCAAATGTGGAGGCTGAAGCAGTCACAGGGAGGATTACACAGGGGGTGGGCCTTCAGCAGGCCTGCTCTCTGGGGCAAGCGCTACCCCTGCGGATGCCATCCCCAAAATGAACGGCAGCATTGGGGACAAATGTAAATCACACACCCAGACGTTCTATGATTTTCTTTTTGCCTCTTGTGGAGTAGTTTACAGGTATGATGAGGTGAGAAGGAAGCCATCAGCTAGAGATTAAGAAGAAAAATGAAAAATGCTCCTCTTCGCAAGGCGCGCACACACACACGCACACATGCACGCACGCACGCACACACACAATTACACACAGCGTCCTAGGCAACCTCGCCCAGCGCGGCCCACTACAGAGCCCCTTCCTGGAACTCCCATGGAGCTGGGGTGCAGGGGAAGCCTTGGAGAGACATAGCTCCTGGGGACCCTAAGGCCACTCAGGTTTCTGGGCCTGAGCCACGGTGGGGCAGCTGCTTCGTGCGTGACCTCCAAAGTCAGGACCTGGCCTGTCCTTTGTGGTAGCGTCGCGTTCCAAGCCGGGTCACCGCAAGACGGATCCCGCCAGGCCTCTCCAGCGATGTTCTGCCTCCCTCCCGCATCTGAGCCTCTGCACATCCCGCAGGCAGCAAGGCAGAGAGCCCCGACGCGCCGGGGCAAGTGACAGGGGTCACCCAGCAGAGCTCGCGGAAATGGGAGGCGCCTTCTGGGCGCGCCCTATGGGGCTGCTCCGGGAGGTGGCCGCCAGGGGGGCGCAGTGTCTCGGAACGCGAGGACCGCGGGGCCAGCTGGCGTTGCCAGGCTCGCCGCCGTGGCCGTTGCCAGGTGACCCGCCGCTGTTTACCGTGGGGCGGAGCGGAGCGCCAGGCTCGCTGTACTCGCGCACCCACCATGGCCTCCCGCAGCGCGGGCACCCTACTGACCGAGTTCAATGCCGCCTACGTGCCCCCTGGACTCATGCCCGGGTAAGGCCGAGGGAGCGCCTCCTCCCCTCCCCCTTCCACTAGCGCCCTCCTCGGTGATCGAAATTCAGCCCCCTGCCCCCGGACTTTGGGGTTGAAGGAACCCCGAGGAGCCAATTTTCCACCCGACGGGGCGAGGGGCCTTCCTAGAGGTTTGTGGTTTCAGAGTAGGAAGTGGGCAGGCACGGGCGGGGGCCTCCCCAGATTCCCCTTCACAGGAAGGCGCTCCCTGGCAAGTGGGGCACAGCCAGCAGGGCATAAGGGACCTCGCATGGATGTAGCCGGGGAAGGGGGAGGAGATGGAGCCACGTGGGGTTTAGTGCTTGGAGACGCCCCAGGCGGGCAGCCTCCAGCGCTTAGAGAAAATGCGAGAAAATCAGGCCCTTCCGTCCGGCGCACAGGGCCAGCACCCAGCATTCGGGCAAGGTCAGTACTTGTTGGTTGAAGGAGGGAAGGATACCGGGTGGGTGCCCGCTCGAAGAACCTGGCAAGGCCGGAAGAGCCGTAGTTAATGGGTCATGTGTGCAGTACCCGCCCGACTTTGCGGTCGGTCCTTTCACAGACCTCCCTTTATCCTCCCAGAAGTTTTTCTTGGAAAGCTTCCTGGCCACTTGCCCTGAGCGCTGGCTTGCTGTTTAGCACTTTCAAATACTAGGTTACACCTACCTTTCTTTACTCTGGATATTTTCAGACTCCAACCATCTAACATGCAAGTCTGGCTGTTGCCTCCTGTTCTTTGGCTCTTTCTCCTACAGTGTCTGATGTTTCTACTCTGGACCGCCTCTCCCAGGGTGTAAGGCTGTCTTTATCCCTCCTACCAGTCAGCATAGGTACTGAGAACAGGCACTGGATTCTGAGAGGCAACCTGTACAGTATCAGCAAATCTGTATAGAATGAATGAATGATCCTAAGAACCCTTGTCTGAAAAAAAGAGTGAACGAATGAATGAAATGAATGTCTTGAGGATTCTGCAGGCAGAGTCTCCAAATGGGTGAAAAAGCCCGCATGCTCTCCCCTGCAATCGGAACAGATGGCAACATGAAGAAAAGTGTATTTGGTATGAAGTTGAGATTGTTTTGAAGCAGAATAAGCTAGACACAGAGGTGCTGTGACATTCAAATCATTTCTGGAGGCTGCATGAGAAAGTAGCAACCAGGGGCTGGTGCTGTAGTTTTAACCTAGCCCATTTGTGGATGCGACCTCTCTCTGGGCCTTGGAGGGAGCTCAAAAGCTACCAGGGTTCCCATCAGACAAAGCTGATTTACCAGGTCATGGTAGTTTCCCGAAGCCAAGCCAGGTGACTTAGGATTTGCCCGTTTTCCTTTATTTAAGACATTCATGTGGGTCAGTGCTTGGGACATGCCAGGTGTTATGTTAGGAGGCTGGGAAGACAAAGACAAACAAGTGAGGGGCTGCCCTAGTGTGGTGTAAACACATAAGGTTTAGTTCAAATCCATTTTTGCAGCCTTGGATTGTGGTGCTGACACCACATTCTGGGTGTTCATCATGAGATTTGATTTTATACATTGACTTTTTTTCTTAAGCCTCCCACAGTCTCCAGTTGGAAAATTTTCTATTGTCTGACTCCTGGACATTTCCCATCTGAGGGGCAAGGCCTGGTGCTCCTGCAAACCCTGCCCCACAGTTCCCCAACTCTGTTTGGCAGGGGTGGGAGCTGCAGGTTTCAGAAGCAGTCCCCAGGGTGCTTTCCTATTCCTGCCACTTCTCAGCAGTTCCCTTGAGCGCCCTGTCCTGTGATTGATTTAGAAATGGCAATAAGAGGATCATGAATGAGGCTTCAAGCCTGGACTGGGCTAGTTTGAGCAGCTGAGCCCGTATCTGCTGCTTTCTCATCTAGATCTTTCTGGAAGGGTTGTGTTCCCCTTAAAGATTCCCATCAGCAAGGGATGAATTGAGTCATTTTGTGTTTCCAAATGCTACCTCGTTGGCAATTCTGTTAACTTAATGAAAGAACCCAAGATTCCCGACCACACTTGGATAATTCTTATTTTTGTGTGTCTGTTCAAACACTAATCACAGGATTTTAAAGCACAGCCAGTCTCTTCTGACACTCACATCACCCTGCTCTTACCTGCTTTATTCATAGAGGCGAGAATATTCATGCTGGTGTGGACCTCAGAGATCATGTAGCCCTGTCCCCTCCTGTTCCAGATGTGGTCACTGAGGTGTGGGGGGACTTGCCTGAGCCCCACGCTGGTGATTGAAGTGCTGGGCTGGAGCCAGGTCCCTAATGCCTGGCAATAACACCATGATCTCCTAAGTCTGAGCTCCAACTATGTACCAGGCACTGTGCTGGGCCCTTCACAACATTTTCTTCTTCTTCTTCTTCTCCTTCTCCTTCTCCTTCTCCTTCTTCTTCCCCTTCCCCTTCCCCTTCCCCTTCCCCTACCCCTTCTTCTTTTTTTAATGGAGTCTTGCTCTGTTGCCCAGGCTGGAGTGCAATGGCGCAATCTCGGCTCACAGCAACCTCTGCCTCCTGGGTTCAAGCAATTCTCCCTACCTCAGCCTCCTGAGTAGCTGGGATTACAGGCACGCGCCACCACAGCCGGCTAATTTTTGTATTTTTAGTACAGGCGGGGTTTTGCCATGTTGGCCAGGCTGGTCTCGAACTCCTGACCTCAGATGATCAACCCGCCTTGGCCTCCCAAAGTGCTGGGATTACAGGCATGAGCCACCACGCCTGGCCTTTTTTCTTTTTTAAAATCATCACAATAACCCAGATGAGGAATGAGCAGCTTGCCCAAAGTCATTCAGCAAGTTGCCGAGCCTCGGCTTTGTGACTTCAACGCCCCAACTCACCCCAATATCTCCCCAACCGTCATGTGGTGTTTCACACTGCCTCCCTCATTTAGCAGGGAGGGAATGGGGTCGACAGTAAGAGATGGACTCTGGAGCAAGCCTGCCTGGTACGAATCCTGGCTCCATGACTTCCTTACCCTGGGCAGGTTACTTATCCCCCCTGCCTCACCTACCTTATCTGTTCAATGGGGATGATCACGGTGTGCAGGTTAAAGAGGTTTCAGTTAGTTAACATGCGTAAAGCCTGGCACTTGATCATTGTTAGCTGTTATCATTAGTTAGATCTCTACTGTGTTCAAGATCTGGTTCTAGGAACCCCGGGGAACATGAAATAATAACAAAGCTGGTCTTCAGCCTCGCCGGCCAGGGTGCTCCATTTGGTTCCATGCTGTTCCTGGGGACACAGCTCCTAGGCACCTTGCCACAGGCAGTGCCTGCCTACGCCTGGCCTGGGTGCTATTCCTGCAGTGGGCAGGAGCTCTTGGGTCAGAGCCCCTGAGATTTGAAGGGGTTTGAAGGGATGAGATTGGCCTCAGTGAGGATCCAAGCTTCCTGCTTGCAAGTCGGATCTGGGTGGCATCCACTCCTCATTCTCTGTTTCTGGCCATGCCTCACCGGCTCTCAGTGCAGACACTTGGCCTGCGCCATGCATTCATTCATGCCCAGACTGCCACTGCGCCCCATGCCCACAGCTCCTGCCCAGCGGCTCTCACCAAGAGTGAGGGCAGGAGGATTTGCCTCCCAGCCCCTCTCTCTGTCTGCCTGGGGTGGCAGTTGTGCCCACATCTGTCACTGAGCTGGACCTCGGAGACTTCAGGGGCCTCTGGTCCTAAAATCAGTGCGTTCCACTCCATTGTCAGGAGAGTGGTCCCACAAAGGTGGCTGTGTCCCCATCCCCAGAATCCCTGTACAGCAAACACACACACGGTGGTGTACTGACAAATGTTTAACAACCAGTTCTCTGGAGCAAAAATGCTTTGATTTGTAACATTCATCCGTATCTGTGGTATAAATACTCTCACCAAAGCTGATTTCAAACTATCAACATAGTGTCCTTAATTGCAGAGTTGGGGAGGGATGGATGCACAGCTGTGCACCATTATATAACATTTCCACCCCACAGATAGAGTGGACATGACAACCTCAAACACAGACGATAGTAACGTGGCAAAATAATTAGGAAGTGAGGAGTTTTGACTGTCTCCTTTGGTTTTAGTGTGTTTTTCTTTCCTTTGAGACAGAGTCTTACTCTGTCACCCAGGCTTGAGTGCAGTGGCACGATCACAGCTCACTATAGCCTTAACCTCCTGGGCTCAAGTGATCCTCCCACCTCAGCCCCCTGAGTAGCTGGGACCACAGGTGTGCACCACCATACCTGGCTAATTTTTATATTTTTTGTAGAGACAGGGCTGCCCAGGCTGGTCTTGAACTCTTGGGCTCAAGCCATTTGCCTGCCTCAGCCTCCCAAAGTGCTGGGATTATAGAAGCCAACATGCCTGGCCTAATATAACATATTTAATTGTAATGGAATATAATTTGATATTGAATACTGGCTTGTTTAATAATAGACTTAACAATTTCCTGAAAATTTAGAAGTTGATTCCTTTGAAGCCAGTAGGCACTGCCTGTAGCCCACTACTGCCTGCCCCTGTGATATGGTTTGGCTGTGTCCCCACCCAAATCTCATCTTGAATTGTAGTTTCCATAATCCCCACATGTCACAAGAGGGACCAGGTGGAGATAATTGAATCATGGGGGCAGTTCCCCCATCCTGTTCTCATGAGAGTTAGTTCTCACAAGATCAGATGGTTTTATAAGGGGCTCCCCATTTGTTGGGCACCCATTTTTCTCTCCTGCCGCCATGAGAACAAGGACATGTTTGCTTCACTTTCTGCCATCACTGTAAGTTTCCTGAGACTTCCCCAACCCTGCAGAACTATTAGTCAATTAAACCTCTTTCCTTTATAAATTACCCAGTTTGGGGCAGTTCTTCTTAGCAGCGTGGGAACAGAGTAATACACTCTGCCAGCTTCCTGGGGCCTGGGGCTTTACCCTTCAGGGAGAGAGGTCAGGCCAGGCTTGGGAAGGGAGGGTTCCAAAGCATTTGCATTTCCAAAGCCCCTTCCACTTCAACCCAGGCCCTGGCACCCGAGGTGCAGCCCTCCAAACAGGCCAGTGCATCTTGGGGTATGAAACAAAGGCCATCTGCCCAGGAGGAGGTAGGGGACCCTTTGTGCCCATTCGTTAGTATTAGAATCTCCTGGGGAGCTTTAACTATGACCTGTGTTCGGGCCCCATCTAGAGATTCTGATGTCATTGGTTGGGCTGGGCCAGGGCTGCAGGAGTTTCTAATCCTCCCAGGCAATTCTAAGATGTAACCAGGGACAGGAATGCTTGTCTGAGAATTTCTATGGCCCCTTGCATTGCAGACCACTGTTGAGAAACTGGCAGGTGTGGTCCTGTTTTCAAGCATTTGAAAGAAGGGACCTCCTCGTGTGAAGCCTTCTACCTGTGCCATTCTCCTTGGCACACCCCCGCCCCCAGGCTGAGAGGTCTGACTGAAGGCACAGCAGGCACTACTTTCGTTGTTCGGTTCTCATCTCCAGCTGAGGGAAAAGATCATTGTCCCAGATTCAAGCCCAAAATACAGAAGCAGAAAGTAAATTCTACAGTCCCTCAATTCTTCTCCCTCTTGGCCCTGTCCCCACAGGGAGCTTCCTTCTCTATCCCCCCAGGAGGCAGCCTGGTCTCAGAGGGCCTCACACACTTAGGGAGCCTCTGGCCACTCACCTGCCTTTCTCTGCTGCAGTATCTTCTCTTCTGGAGGATTCATAAGCCACGTCATTCCCCACCCCTTTCCCAGGACCTCTGCCCCAAGGCCAGCCCCTATCTCTTCCCTGGAATTCACCTCTGAGCTGTTCAAGTACATTTCATAGGTAACTGGTGCCTCTCTACCTTGAGGAACTGTGGAGCCCCCTAAGAACAGGTGATCAGGGGCTCCTGGAGACTTGGGCTTTGCAACAGGGATCCTCCTTCTCTCCAGAAGAAAGGGCAACCCTTTAAAATGTGCCACCATTTGTCAATTCCATTCAACAGATATTCACAGAACATCCACTGGGTGCAGAGAATGCCAAGCATGCCAGTATGAGTACAACAGAACCCTACTTCCCCAGAGAGCCTATGATTAATAAGAAAGAATATTCCAGTGGCTCAGATTATTGTGATATGAAAGAATGTGAACTGAGGCCAGGTGCGGTGGCTCACACCTGCACTTTGGGAGGCCGGGGCAGGTGGATTACCTGAGGTCAGGAGTTTGAGACCAGTCTGGCCAATATGGCAAAACCCCGTCTCTACTAAATGTACAAAAATTAGCTGGGCATAGTGGCGGGCACCTGTAATCCCAGCTACTTGGGAGGCTGAGGCAGGAGAATCGCTTGAACCCGGGAGATGGAGGTTGCAGTGAGGACCATGCCATTGCACTCCAGCCTGGGTGACAGAGTGAGACTCAGTCTCAAAAAAAAAAAAAAAGAAAAGAAAAAGAAAAACAATATGAACTGAGACATAGGAGAGGTGCAAAGGGCAAAGACAGTTCCATGGAGCGGGCAGGCAGGGTCTGTGGGCTGGGTCATGGAGGCTCCATGGGAAAGAGGGCATTCAAGATGGGCCTCAAAGGATGGGTAAGATCACAATGTGGGAAGTGCGGAGAGCAGAGCCTTCTGGATGGAGGATGTGGCTTGAGACAAAAAAAATGGTGTGGAGTTGCCAGAAGGATGTTCTTTCAAAGCAGCAAATAGCCTCTTCAGCTGGAATGGGAAAACTGTGATGACAGTGGATGATGCGGCTGGAAAGCATTCTCACAGAGGCCCTGGCGCGGAGGGACTGACACCTGGCCCCGCTTGTGCTTGGTGTCACAGGCAATAGGGAGCCCTTGAAGGGTTTTGCCCTGGGGAGGAATGTGATCAGAACTGTCCTCAGTAGGAGGCGTTATGGAGGAGAGGATGCATTGTGGAATGTGGACATGCCGAATAGTCGCTGGTTAATCAGTTAATAAGGTTGATCATGGGATCTCTGATGGCTCATGGTAATTAGTTTTAATGTTGGCTGTGGGGCCAAGCAGTGCTATTAAGAGTCAGGGAAGGGACTGCTCCTTTTCACACAGTAACCCACAGTGGGCCTTAGAATCCACATGTGACCATTGCCCAGGGGTCCGGCTTGGCACAGTCTCCTGGCTTATGTGGTGTACAGATGGATGGAGGGACAGGGTGGTGGATGGGAGCAGATGAAGGGGTTGAAGGGGAGGTGTGGTGGCACCAGCCAACACAGCAAATGCTGCCACTCGATGCCCTGTTATAAAACTTGCCATTCCCCTCTGTTCCTCCCTACCTTGGCCTGCCACGTATCAACACAAACAGGACTGCAGAAGGCTCCACCGTGGAGCTCAGGGCATGCTCAAAGGAACACAAATGCAGGTGCATATAAGGGACACAGACCTAGCTTGCCAAGATGCGCCCACTGAGTGCTAAAGAATGTGAACCTGCCCATGTGTGCAAGTGTGTGAGTGCACACACACCTGCCTGAGCAGTAAGCCCTGAACAGAAGCCAGGCAGAACTCAGGAGGATTGCGGAGGAGAGGGCTTCTATTCTATTGGGATGCAAATATCGTGGCATTCAGAGAAGGTGGAGAAGCAGGGAGCAGAGGAGGAGTATGGCAGAGAGCTTGGGGGCGGAGAGAAGAATCACGAGAACACATCATTTTTCTATGGCTCCTTTCTTCGGAGGAGCCCATCGCCCCTGTAGGCGGGATGCTTCATGCCAGCATGTGCTCTGCTGATCAGAGCCACGCTCCTCTTAAATCAGGACTCCAGGGCATGGTGCCCCCAGAGTTTCTGGAATTCTGCCTCCTCCAGTGAACATTTGTTGAGCACTTGTCATGTGCCAGGTGCCAAGGATAAAGGAGAACACGGATTAGCAGAAGAAGAGACAAGTTCATTCGGGTCTGAGTGTGGACTTGAGGATGATAGTCCTCTCAGTGAGGCAGGTGCTAGGTACAGGGTGTGCAGTCAGGGGAGGTAGCAGAGGGCACTGGATCCTTAGGAGTGGGTGGCAGATCCCCAGATGGGCAACAGGGAAAATGCATCCCAGGGAAAGGAATTCCATGCAAAGGCCCAGAGGCCTGAAGAGCAAGTGGGGCCCCAGAGACTGGGAGTAACGCTGCTGGGGCCCAGGGCACCTACAGTGCAGTGATGGGCGAGAGGAGGGATGGCTCTGGTGCTGTATGGACAGCAGGCTGGAGGGGGTGATGCTCCATTTAGACCAGGGAGGAGATTGGAGATTGTCCAGGCAAGCAATGAGGGAGGCTCGCAGCAGTGGGATGGAGGAGGGCCACAGGCCAGTGGCTAAGGAGGGGCCTAAGCAGGACTTAGGGAGAGGTCAGATGTGGAGGGTGATGGAGGGTGATGGAGAAGCCATCAAGTCCCAGTTTCTGGCTTAGGTGGAGGTTGGAGGGGGCAGGGATATACTGGAGGAAGAGCAGTTTCAGTGGCGCTGAGTCTGTGGCGTGGTGGCCCAGCCTTGTGTGGATCCATTGCCAGGCATGTGGATCCATTGCCAGAATGGTGGAGGCTGGAGACCCAGAGGTAGAGAGGCTGTCATTGACATACGGGACATGTTGGAAGTCTAACACAGATGAGATCTCCCAGAAGGAATGGGTCCCTGAAAAGAGAAGAGGACCCTGGGGCAACACCATCGCCTGGGGAAGGAGCCAGACCCAGGGGCTCCCCCTGCCCTGGGACTTTCCTCAAAGCCTCACCCCAGTGGACACTTGTCATGGAGCTCCTCCAGTACCCACCCTGGGAATGGCCTTCCCTCCTTGTGGTTGATAGCACTAGAACCTTGACCATGGTCCCACTTGGGTTGGAGCTGGTTGTACCCAGGCCAGCTCAGCATGGCGCCTGACACATGCACCCCATGACTCAGTAAACACCGAGTGAGGATTGGGCTTGGGGAAGGCAGGCTGAGCACCGTGGGTCTTTGTGTTCCCAGCACTTAGTATGGTGCCAGCACACAGCAGGTTCCTGATAAATTAATGTTTCATGCCATCTGACTCTGTTTTTAAAAAATGATGTGTGTACAAAGAAGAAAGCCACAAATCACCCGAAATCCAAACACCCTGAATTATCCAGGGTCAACGTTTGGTGCATTTTATTCAGAGTTTCTCTTTATGTGTATATTCAGACGAGATCGGGCGCGCTCAGGGTGGTATGGCTGTAGACCTTATGTGTATATTCAGATAAAGGACTAGATGGAGGAGTGAATGGACGGATGGATGGATGGATATAAAGACAGACAAAAGCAACTTTATAAAAATATAATCATACCATATTTGCTATTTTAAAATGAAAAGCATGAAATTGAATCTTAATAGAACTTAACTGAAGAGAAAGAAACTGAAGTAAAATGGAAGAATAAGTAGATTTGAGATAAGTGTTAATTCATCACAAGAGATATTAG
This sequence comes from Homo sapiens, assembly GCF_000001405.40. Classification (NCBI taxonomy): domain Eukaryota; kingdom Metazoa; phylum Chordata; class Mammalia; order Primates; family Hominidae; genus Homo; species Homo sapiens. Next base: position 26,572,014 of record NC_000002.12, read on the forward strand.
TACAAAAAGATCCCACTATAGGAGAGAGAGAGAGGATAAAAACCATCAAAGGACTAAAGCCATTATGTTGTACTTTTTTCTAACGATGTGTTTCAATTTTAGATGCCATGGGTTGACTCTGATTTAAAGAGATTCTTAGTAAGTGCACCCCCATCTCCCCTCCACCCACCCCCCAATTTTGGTTGCTTAAATTAGTTTTACTTTGACAGGTTTTATAACATTTACATTCCATTCTGTAACTAGCATTCACCTAGTTGCTATTCCTGGTTCTGCACTTCAATAGATTTGAAGCTCACCACCACTCATTCTAACAGAGGCTCTACATTACTGAGTTGGTTTTTTTTTTTTTTTCTCTTGAATCATCTCTTGATTGGCAGGATTTTGTCGCTGAACATGACTTTCAAGAAGAGCTTGTGGGTGCTTTAGTTGCTGAGCCCTTTCATGCTAGGAAAGGGTGGCTTTGTACCCCTGTGACCGCCTGGCTGGTGTGGTATTCTTGGGTTATGCTCTTTTCCCTGCGGAATGCTGTGGGTATCTTCCTTTGCCTTTCATTCTATCACTTCATCTTTTTGCTGGGGTTGGCAGCACCTGGAGATGAGCATCTCTTCCATTCCCTACATTCTGAACCACTTGAGAAAGAAGGTGAAAGAGGAATGTGGCTGTTAGAGAATGGGGTGAACACAGCCTCAGAATGAGACAGGCGCTGGGGCCGGCCTCCTCCCCACGGGCAGAGCCTGTCCATCTAACACCTAAGGCTTGGAGGGGCGGAGCAGGCTTCCTTGCTTCCGAGGAGGAGAAGGAGGGAGGGGAGAGGTGGGCCACAGGCTGCCCGATGGTTCCAGTGTGGGAGGAACCTCCCCTCCACGTGGGAGGAGCCCTCAGGATAGAGGAGGCAGCATCTCCCCATCACTTGTCTTTGACATCTTAATTTATTGAATCTATATCTTGATTAAGCTTCATCTACAGCACGAAGTGCTCTCAGGAACTTGCTTACACGTCACAGGTTAGGTTTTTTCCCAAACAAGTTTCTTCATCAGTGCGAATGTTGCAGCGGGACAGTGTGAGCCGAGGACATTGGATTTGGCAACAGCAGGACCTGATATGACCTTAATTTAGATGTAGAGGTTCACGTTTCAATGGTGGGTCTGAAGGCAGACTGAGGGAGGTCAAGGAAAGGGTGAGAGTTGAGAAATCAGGCAGAAGATGCAGCGTATTCCTTAGTGAGCTCCAGAAGGAGGGAGGGAATCTGCAATCCCGCCTTCCTCTTCGCCATCTTTAATGTCTCCTCTCTTGGCTGCTTCCCCTCTGCCTATAAACGGGCACCAGCCTTTACTGTGGAAATGTACAATCTAGGAACCACGGCTCATGCCCACTTACAGGCAGAGGGGAAGAGGCCGAGAGGGAGGGGGATATTAAAGATGACGGAAGAAGGGCAGAGGCTGAGAGAGACAGGGAGGAGTCGGATGGGACAATGAGGCCTTGGGTGAAACCAGAGCAGGAGCTCCAGACCCAGGAGTGGCGCCCAGGCCGGGAGGAAGACTCTGTCTCCTGAAGCGGCCAAGGTGACCACACAGCCTCACAGGAGAGAGAGCAAGGCACCCACCAATTCCTCCGTCTTCCCAGTTCCAGAGGAGACCTGGCCTCCGCGGGGAACTCAGGGGGCCAAGGAGGAAGGGCACTGAGGTGGTGGAGAAGAGTCAGGACCGCCAGGGTCACGGTGTCAAGGGCGGCGCCTCTGTGGCATCCAGGGATGTGAGTAGTGAGGCTGGAGGGGGTGCCTGTGCAGCTGGGGTGGAGCCTCTCCCCTCTGCAGCCTCATTGCAGCTCTGGCCCAGCCAATGCCAGATGCTGTGAGACCCCAGGAAGGCACAACTGTTGAGGGTGGTGGGACCAGGAGCCAGGGCAGGACTCACTTTGTGTGAGCTTCCCTACAGTGAGCAGTCCTGTCAGCAGTCACTCGGCTTCGCTTCCTTGCCTTTTTCCTGAAGACAGAAAAGAAGGAAACCATGCATTGCTATCTAATTCCAGGCAGCGCCCGTTCTGTTGGTGAGGAGACCGAGGCCCAAGGCACAGGGAAAGACCCCAGAAGAGGTGAGAGTAGGGGACGGAGTTACATCTAGATGGCTGCGATGACTCTGCAGGACTGGGATGTAGAGGAGGTGATGGGGCTGGAGAGCTGGGCCCGGGTCAGATCACAGATGGCCTCGAATGCCACGCCGAGGATCTGACTCTGGACTAAAGTTCAGTCTGCTGGAGAAGGGATTGCAGGGGCAGGGGTCTGGTGCAGTTAGAACAGTGAGGTTGTTATGACCACAGGCCAGGTACAAGGGCACATGGCTGGGCTCAGGTGGTGCAGATGGAGCTACAGGACTTGGTGACTGACTAGATGTGGGTGAGGTGGATGCCTCAGTTTCTGACTTGGATGGCTAGGGGGAAATTTTCACAGAGATGGGACCAGACTGTCAGGGAAGGTGGGGGTGGGAGATCAAGCCTGGGAGACATCCAAGGGATATGTCTGGTGTGCAATTGTACATAGCAGCCTAAGGCTTGGAGAGAACTCCCAGGCGGGAGCTGTGGACTGGGTTCATCTGCACACAGGAGGTGGCTACGGCCATGGCATGGCTGCCATCACCCAAGACAGACCCCGGAGGTTCACCAGTGTTTAAGAGGCGGGCAGAGGAGAAGGCTCATGAAGGTGTGGTCAGAGATGTTGGCAAAAGCAACAGAAAGGAGCAAAGGTGTCATCCAAACCAACAGCAGCGTTTCAGGAAGGGAGAGGTGGGTGATGCCCTGTGCTACTGGAAGGCCCAGCAAGACAGAGCATGTCCACCGACCTGCAGCAGCAAGAGCACAGGCGGCCTTGGGAAGAGCGATTTCAAGGGCCTCATGGAGCAGAAGTCAGACCCCAGAGAGTGAGGCATGCATGGGGGCACAGGGCCGTGCTGCTCGGCAAGCTTCCGCATTGGCCGCGAGTCTGGCGCCTGTACTCTCTGGGTGTTGTTGACTCTCCCTTGCTTTGTTAAAACAAGTCTTTAGCTCTTGGAGCGAGTCTCATTTAACCAAGGATCTCTAGAGTGCCTGTGTCACCAAGGCCTCCGCTCGCCCATCTCCTGTCCCTCTCCTGGAACCTCCTTGGTCACAGAGGGTGGAAGACTCCTTGTAGGCTCTCAGAGCTCCAGAACCTTAGTCAGCTCTCCAGGCTGTCTGAGTAGCGTGTTGGGAGGCTGCTGTGCTGGGAGCAAGGCTGCGGCGTCCTGAACCTACGCCTTGCTACACCACATCTCCCACCCATCGCTGTTCACTGACCGGGCCCCCCACCCACTTCTCATACTCCCCCTACTCTTTCATGAGATAACTGCAGAATGTGGGAGCCAGAGGAGGCCTTTGCATCTTCAGGCCAACGCCTGAGTAAATGCGGGCCCCTGGAGGGACAGTGATTTGCCTACAGCATTGACTGGGGGGGTATCTGGTGTTCTGGCCCCTGTGTAAGCCCCTGGTCTGGAGAGAGGAGCATCTAGGCAAAGACCTCTGTGGGGAGGGAGAGGCCCAGAGCCCCTTGGACTTGGCCATCCCCAAAGACCTGAGCAGGTCAGTGCACCTGGGGAAGCCTCTTAGGGCCAAAGATGGCCACCGGGCTCCCCTGACTCTGCCCTTCATCTTTTTTTTTCTTAATTGTTATTATGTTTTTATGTAGAGACAGAGTCTCACTGTGTTGCCCAGGCTGGTCTCAGAACTCCTGGGCTCAGGTGTTCTTCCCTCCTCAGCTTTCCAACATGCTGGGATTACAGGCATGAGCCACAGCATCCTCCACTTTTAAGGGCCTCTCTTGGAACAGGCCTGGGGCCCTTCACTGATCTGTGGCTCCACCACCCCCACCGTGATCGGCAGGTACCAGGGCCACGTCCCCACTGTGGCCTTCTCCTTTGGCGCTCCCTACGGCACCACCACCCTCAAGTACTTCCAGGACCACCGCAACAGAGCCATGGAGAAGAGCCACACTCCCTTCAGCCAAGGCGGCCATTTCCCCACCATCTTCTCCACCAACCCCAACCTCCTGCTGATGGAGCGCGCCAGCACCCGGGACCGCTGGCTGCACAAGCCCAGCTACACTCGCTTCAACCTGGACAGCCATCGCTCCACAGAGCTTACGAATTTCTACCAGGTAAGCTGTGTGGGGCTGCCCTGTGGCCTCCCCTCCTGCCCACCTGCCCCCACCACGGGAAGGGAGTGATGGCCAGGGGCCAGGGGGAGACCTCGCACCTGCCACAGTGTCTTGATTTCCTTTCTCAGAGCCCCTGAGCCAGCAGAGAGCATGGTGGGCTTGGCTAAAGGGAGTAAGGAGGCTCAGGACTTTGCCCCTCTGATCTCTCCCCACCTCCCGGGGCTTCAGGACCCCCAACTCCTGCTCACTCCCACTGCCAGTGGAGCTAGGGGTCTCTAGGGACCTGTCTCTAGGCTCCTGCCCTTACCTTCTGCCCCCTGGAGTCTCTTGGATCTGTGGAATGCCATATATTTTGTAGGTGAGTATAAGGTCTAAGATCCACCCACCAGATGAATAACACACGAGCAAAGGCCCCACTACAGCCCCCAGCCCCAGTTCCAGCCCCACGGCATTTATCCACCTGTGTCCTGGAGCCTGCTCACCCCTCCCTGCCCTGCAGCCCCCTGGGGGCATGCTCTGAGTCACTCTCAGCCCCAGCCTGGGCGAGACTGCCCTGCAGGGAGTGAGCTCGAGGAAGGGGACCCACCCACACCCCTGTTGTTCTTGTCCTGCTGTTCAGGCTGGTAAAGCCTCCCTGGATGTGGTTCAGACACATCCCCAGAGACCACAGGTGCATGGGCCTGAGCTGGCCCTTATGCCCTTGGCAGGGATAAGGGTTCATTCTCTCCTGTGTTCCCAAAACCTTACTCTCTCCATCACCTTCTCTCACAAGCCTCCCCCTCTAGCCTGATTGCAAGGACAAGGTGTGTCCTGGCCCCAGGGCAGAGAACTTGTATGAGTAAAGCAGCTTCCTCGGGAGAGGAGGAGGTTGATGCCACCAGCCTCTGAGCCATGTGCGACCATCTCAGGGGGTCTGCCAAAGCCTCTCCCTCCATCTTGGCGCTCAACAGAACATGCCCCGTACAGTGGGGAAGGAGAGGGGGGAGGAAACACAGGCCAGGCGGACATGGTGCCTGTGTGCACAGCAGGTGTGCGTACGCCTGCGGGGCTGGGTTTTTGTACTCAGTCTGAGCTTGTCCCTTGTCTTGTTTACTCTCCATAGCAAAGCTGGTCTGGTGGGTGTCGTTATTCCCATTAGGCAGATGAGAAGTCGTGACTCAGTGAGGACACCCAGCTGGTTGGCAATTGAGTTGGGGCCCCAGCAACTCCGGGACTCCTCCGGGGGCATTAGGGGAGGTGGCCCCCAACCCTGCCCAGGTGCAGCGAGGCATGGACTGCAGGTGCCTGTGGTCAGTCCTGTGCACTAACAACCTGTCATCTCTTCCTTGATTGAACCATAGATGGTCCAGCAGCATCGGAAGTACTATCAAGACAAGACGGGCACAGTGCCTCGAGTCCCCTACTTTGCGATGCCCGTGAGGGAGCCGGAACGGTACCCCCTCCCCACCGTCCTGTGAGTGCCTGCCCTCCCTTCATCTACGCAGTCAAGAAACGCACCCATGGGGCACCTGCTCTCGGCCAGGCATGCACAGCACACAGACTGAGAAATGAGTTGAGGATCTTGCCCTAAAACGTGCAGTGCAGAGAGTGATGGTTACAGAGCAAGGGGGTCAGGGCATTGGCAGCCTCAGGGGGGATGGTGGTAGCCTGAATGGGCGAATCAGGAAGAGTGCTTTCCCGGCCAGATGCACTGGGAGTTTGGGAGAAGCTCCGTAAGCTTAGTGGGCCTGAATCTGCGGACTGATGCCCCGCCTGCAAAGGCAGCCTGGCAGCTACACTAGTCCTAACGTGGGCGCCGATGCAGAGCGCAGTAAGGAGCTGCTGCCCTCTGGTGGATACAGAGGGCACTACACCGAGCAGGAATCTCCCCCGGTCCCGTTCACATTTGGAAAATGTTCTCCTAAGGACTTTCTGTCCATCTAACTAAATAGGAAAGTTCCTTGCCTCCTGCCCCTCTCTGCTTTTATCTAGGAGAGCTCCTTTCTCCAGGGAAGGCCCACTCTGCCCTGAAAGATGACTTGGGTACTGTGGTTTCTGTGCTCTCTCCTTCCTGAAGCGCAGGCAGGGGGATCATTGGCTCACACGAGGTGTCCTGGAGTGGGGTAGGGTGGTGGGTGGTGCCTGGCCTGGGAGGTCAGTGGATAGAGCTTGGGATTTAGCTCCATGCCAACCACTCCCGGCTTGCCTCAGAGTCCTAAGATTCACCATCATCCTTACTGATAAAACAGCATCTGTTTTCATAAGTTTAATGGTTTTTAAAGAAACAGGCTTCACTGCATCTAAAAGTTCCTTTTTGCAAGTCAGACAGGATCATTTTACAAAAAAGGGAACGTGAGGCTCATTGATCGCCTGGGGAACTTGTGCTGCGTGGCCTGGATGGTTGGAGGCAGAGCTTGGAAAGGAAGCAGCATCTCCCATCACCACCTCTAGGACTCGGGGGCTCTCTCTAATCTTGGAATGGCTCTGAGCCAGTCCATCCCTAGAGTATAGTGGGACTCTCCTGGGGACAGGTATCCTCTTGAGATGGCTCTGGCCAGGATCTGCCCCCCATCCCCATCACTGTGGGGAGAGCGGGACATCTCAACTCTGTTCCTTCTTCAGGTTGCCTGGCCACTTGCACTGCTGCTGACAGTTTCACAACGAACGCAAAGGGCCAACCAGGTGGTTGGGAGAAGAGGGTCAGTGACAGGCCTGGGGCAAGCCCCTCCCTCCCGGAATCCCCTCCATCAGCACCATCACCATTTCTTAGAACATTTGTTGTGTGTTTACTCCTTGTCCAGAGCTTCACATGCATTACTGCATTTATTCCTCAAGTCAAAGCTAAGAGGGGGATACCACCACTGGGCCATTCTTAAATATGCACACTTCTAGCAGGAGTTAGGACCAGAGTCCGTCCCAGGTCTGTCTGACATCTGTGTCCTCACTCTTAACCACTGTGCCATTATGTAAATACAGGTTATTCCCACCCCAAGTCCAGGGGGACTTATCAGGTGTTAAACTGACGAGTAGCCGGCAGGTCAGCTTGAGCTGGAAAGTGGGCACGTGGGGCTGTGGGTGGGCACGCACCACCTTCCTTCCCTGGCACACTGCATAACACCAGTCCCATCCTCACCCCTAGGCCTCCTCTGTGCCCAAAGAAGAAGTGGCACCTTTTAAGACTAGCCCCCGAGAACCTGAAGACCTACCAGACCTTCCCATCAGGGAAGAGGGTCTCTCCACAGGAGCGGAAAAAGAGAGACTGCTACTTTGAGTTCAGAGCATGAGACTTTTAGTTCAGAGCAGAGCCTGATGCCTGAGATCCTGGGTCGTGACCAGCCTGGCTTGCTTGGAATAAAATCTTTAGCCATGACCATGCTACCCATCTCTCCTCTGGATCCCAGGGACACTCGGCCACAGCAGGAAATGCCCCCTGAAGGTCACACAGCATTGTGTCCTGAGGGCCTGCGGAAAGCTCTGTCCCAGGGACTCAAGCCAAGGAAAAGTGGTGTCCGGCTACCTGGCAGGTCCAGCTACCTTCTCCCCAAGGTGGGGCAAATGGAGTTGAGGAATGTAGGGTTCCCTAGTCTTAGTGGCAGGTCACTCAGGTACAGAGACCTCCCACCAGATTCCACTGGTATAAGCAAGGAAGTCCAATTGCGCCGGTCTAAGAATGAAGGGGAAATGACCCCAGAATAATTGCACTGGGTGTGATTGGAAAGGAATTTTCATCAGAGCCCTGACTTGGCGTCGTTTTGTCCACACGATCACTTGTGAGGGAAGAGGTGTTATTATCCCCACTTTACTGATAAAGATATTGAGGCTCAGAGAAGGTGAGAAAGTTGCCCAAGCTTACATAGTTGGGAAGTAACACAGCCAGAATTTGAATTCAGGTCTTTCTGACTCCCAAGCCCTGGTTTTTCCACGACACAGCCTGCTTGTGGTCCATGTGGAGACTGAGGGGCGGGGAAGACATAAACCTGGGGATCCTGAAGGAGTCTGTGGAGGGCGGAGCCTGGGAGAAGAAGCTGTGTGCAGCAGGCACCTTCTGCATTCTGCCTAGGCTGGCTTGGTAGGGTGGATGCAGCATCTACCCCTGAAGCTGTTTCTAGAAGACGATGGGAGGGAATGACCTAGGACCAGACAACTCTTCCAGGAATCCCTATGTTTCGGGGCCCCAGGCCGGAAGTGGATGCTGGGCATGGGTGCTGAAGCCACATGCCTGGGGTGGTCTTTGAGGGTCTGGAGGGTCTGCTCCCACAAGGCTGCTGCTTCCTACCTCCCAGGAGGCTCCTGCCTGCTGGGGCAGGGGTGGGACGGGGGTGAGAGCCCCTCAGTGACAGGATCTGGGATGGGGACCTTAGACCAAGGCGGGGACCTTCTCCAACATTCCAGCACCTCTTAGATTTGATCAAGGGCCCTCCATTAAGGGACAAGGCCCTTATTGTCCTTCAATGGGTGAATCAGGACCTAACTGCAAGGGGAACACAGCCCGGTTCAAGTACACCTGGGGCTGAAGCAGCCCCTCCTCTGTAGCCAGCGATTAGACACCTCCCCCAGGACAGTGTAAATAAGAAAAACCCAATGGGGGGCTTCTTCTGTGTCTCAAAGTCCCTGAGGAGCTGGACCCCAAAGGCTGTCTGTGGTGGCCAAATTCATTCCAGGGCTTGGCTGAATAGCAAAGCAAATAAACTCTAATTGCTGGTCCCACAATCAGGGCCAAGATGCCTTCTCCCTCAGAAGGGGAGTGGGGAGCCGGGCACCGGCTGGAATGGCTGCTATGTGCACGTCTCTGTGCAGCTGTGAACTGTGAGGTGCTGGGGGTCGGGGGTTTTGATGAAGGGAGGGAAGGACATGTATCTTGCTAGGGACCTTCATCCCATTTGGCTTGGCCCCCTGCTATGACATGGGTTGAGATTTGAACTATTCCCTCAGAAAGATTGCCACCCCAGCCTGCTTGACATCGCTGGCACACTGAAGCCCTGGAAAGGGCAGTTCTTAATAAAAAGTACCATGTATGACCCTGCATTTAAAAAGCGATGATCTGATGGGCTAAGGAAAAGCTTTTTCTTTTATCTAATAAACAATATTCTAGAGGTGAGTGTGGGCCCAGTACAAAGTCATACTTCAAACCAGCTCCCTCCAGTGCTGGAGGGGGTTCGATTCCTGTGGTCTCCCTCGAGGCTGCCATGTCAGGTGTTTGCCGCTACATCAGCATCCCCAGAAGTGAATCCGAAAGGAGCTGAAAGAAAGAATCCCGTGAGCCATGTGAGCCCGCAGGTCCAAGGGGCCCTCTGACTCCTGGGTTCACAGTAGTCCTGGAGGCTCCCTCCCCGGCCTGCATCTCGTGTCCCTTTCTCTGGGTGACGGCCACTTTGCAGCCATCCCAAAGCAACCCCAAACCTTCTTTAAGCTTCTTTCAGCATCACCCCAAGGCAAAGGCAGGGCACCAGAAGGAACCTTGTGGTGCTCGAATCAGTGGAAAGAAATGGAAGAGATTCAAAGAGAAACTCTGAGCAGTCGGGGTGCCAGCTTCAATTATGTGCTGGGCTGTGACAGAACAAGAGGAGTTAGCTTTGGCTGGGGTGGTCCCAAGTGTGCATCCTTAGAGAGGGGCCACCCAGGCCACAGGCCCTAGCAGGCCTGTTGGAATGAGGAGCCCCCTCCTCATCCAGGCAGTCAGAAGAGGGGAGGACCCCTGACCATGGCCACTCAGATTCTGTCTCTGGGGATTTGGAGTCAGAGCTGAGAGGTGTTACTCAGGAGTCACTGAAAGTCACTCAAGACCAAGGAGGTATAAACTTGACCACTGCAGGGAGGCCGTGCATGGTCTTATGTCTGACAAAGCGGAGACAGCTGGTGCACAGCACAGAGTGAGCGTGGAGGGGCGATGGGAGGCAGAGACGTTGGCACAGAGGGACCCAGCAGCCCCGGGCTCCTGCCCTGGTGCTGGCTGAGGTCTAGCTCTTTGCTCTGTTTCCCTTAGTCTGTAAAAGCACCTTGAGTGGGCATACTTGAAATCAGCGCACCTCTGAGACCAGGGGCAGAGTCGGACCCAGGAGCAGGAGACGCCAGCTCCACCCGGCTGGTCCTCCATGGCACGCGCTGCCTCCAGGGGGCACGCATCTCCCGAAAGCAGCAGCACCCCAAAAAGACTTCAACGTGGCCAGGGAGATCTGGAGATGGCCAGCCTTCTCAAGGACGTTTGGGCCTCAGAAGACCCTTTGGGCCCCTCCTGCTCTAAGAAATAGAATTGGGTGCTTCTCTCATTGTTTCTTTTCTATGAGCTCCACCACCAGCATCTTCAGATCCCCCCTGTAAACCCCTACCTCCCAGTTGGCCGCTGGAGGCAGTGGGGTCGTCAGGAGCCTAGTGGGCTTTGGGAGAAGCACAGAGGTGTGTCAGCTGGCACAGGGAATGCTCTGAGGTTGGAGCTGTGACGTCATTCCCAAAGCCTGGGATCCAGTCCTCTCCTCTGCCTTTTAATACCCCAGGGTTACCTAATTTCTCAGAATCTCCAGTTTTGCTGACTCTGAAAGAATCTGCAAAGTATTCTGGAAACTCACAGCCTTCTTGGGAAGACTGAGATGTCCCATGGAGTGAGGAGAGACTGGGGGCCCTTCCTGCCCCCACCACTCTCCTGGACAGTCTCACCCCCTCCAGAATGCCTTACTTCATGAAATCTGGAGACTTGGCCATTGCATGTTCAAACTCTGAGAAGGACAGCATGTTGTCATTGTCCAGATCCGACTCACTCAGGACCTGGCGAGGGAGCACAGAAGACAGTTGAGTGGAACCCCATGTCAGGCAGTGAGGTGGGGCACAGGGTGGAGGGGGAAAGCCACATGCCAGGGGCTCTCCCACATGCTTAACACTTGTCTCCTGGGTCCCCTGACCCCAGTGACCCCACAGAGATTAGGTTATGTGCACCAAAGTTTGGGACCCTACTGGTTGCCTCTCACTCCTGGGGCCTCCAGCACGAGCCTGGCAGTGAGAGAACAAGAGTGTCCCCCACCTGCCCCACCAACCAGTACACACAGGGGCTCTGCACTGAAGGGGGCCCAGGCAGGCAGGGAGGCGGTGGTGACTCCCTCAACAGTGCTTATGGTTTTATCTTCTAGTCCCCATCGAGACTGGAAATGCTGGACACTTGTCATGTTCTGAAAGCAGAGATCCATGCCCTGACTTGAGTTTGCAGGGCCGTCCTCGTGTTTGTCACTCCAGGACACCTGGGCACTGTGTTGTGCTGGGACAGAGTGGGGAGGGGATGTTGAGATGGGTCCCTCTGAGGTTGAGCTGTTGTTGGCCCACCAATGGCAGTCCCTGTCATGTAGGGAGGCCCCTCGAGTGGGTGGGTCGGGCTCCGTGTTCTGGGGACCCTGGAAAGGACTTGGAGGAAGGACAGAAAGTGGAGGGGCAGTTGCCTCCAGCTGTGTGCCCATTCCTCAGGGCACCCTGAGCTGCCTGTCCCCTTGGCAGCCCCCAGGGAATGTGTGCACCAAAGGCCAATGTGTCATCTGCCTCAGGCTGGCCCTGGGTCTCCTCCCAAGAGGGTGGCCTGACATCCGGGGGCTTTGGGTGACAACCTGGCCCCTATCCCCGGCCCCAGCCACCAACTCCCAGCCCCCAGCACACACGTGGTTCGTGAGGTCCATCAGGAGGTCCTCAGACATGTCATCACTGTTCAGCAGTCGCAGGATGATCCTCTGCAGATCCTCCTCATCAATGAAGCCATTCTCATTAAAATCTGCAAAGAAGAGGCCAGGCCTGCATTAGACGGAGCTGGGGGCTAAACAGGAAGAGGACTTGAGGAGTCCTGGGGGACACAGCACCAGCCAGGACCCCACAGATGCCCATTAGCCTCTGGGAGGCCCCCCAGAGCCCAACTCTCCCAGGTGGGTCACACGTATGTGCTAAATAACCCGTCGGAAATACCAATGGTAGTAAGTATCGATCGTGTGTGTACTACATGCTCAGACCTCTCCTGAGAGCTTTAAGTCATTGAATCTTCACAATCAACCTTTTATTAGTCTTTTACCAAAAAGAAACTGAGGCACAGAGGGTTATATGGTTGTCTGCAGCACCAGGAAGTGGAAGGGGAGATTCAAACCCAGCCAGGCTGACCTCCGAGCCCCATATCCACCCCTGCGCTTTGCAACTCTCCATCTCACAATTCAGAAGCCAGGGTGTCTTTTGGTGGCTGGGAGCCAGGCAGTGTGGAGCAGAGGGTGGCCTGGATCTGAAGTCAGAAGGCCTGGATCCCAGTCCCTGCTCCTGTCCCGATGTGGTAGCTCTGTGATCTGGGCATGTGCCCTCACCTCTGCAGTGAAGGGGGACAATGGTCCTTGTAGACTGTCCACAGTGGGGCTGGCCATACTGACCCTGGCTATGCCCTCAAAGGGTTAAGGGGACAAGAGGCAATATTCCCTCCAACCCCGTGCATCCTCCTTCCTGAAATGGAGTCCAGAATTGGGCAAGAATGGGCACCATTTCTTCATCCCAGGCAAGCCACAGCTGTCAGATAAAGGGTAATGTGACAGGGAGCCTGCAGACCATGGCAGGCTCCTTACATTTCACATCCCCCTGTAAAATAACCCAGGATGCTGCCGTGGCCCTGGTGTGCACAGAGGGTTCCGGCCGTGGGGAGCCCTGGGGACTCTGGGGTGGGTGGCAGTGGGGGCAGCACCGGGACTTCCCAGACTTCTGGGGGCCGCACTGACTCCCGTGTGTGCCGGCTGCTAGTTCCTCAACTGCAGCCACAGCCCAGGGCCCCTGCCTTCCAGGACAGCGCTCAGAAGTGCCCACCCACCGTCCCGCCAGTCGGGGAGTGCTGCCCTGAGCCTGGCCAGGCCTTGGGTCCTCCTTTTAGGGCCATAAAATATGGTCATTACATAAACCTCCTGAGTACTGAACAGTCAGGGTCCACCTGACCCTATTTCCCACAGAGCCACCTTGAGGGGTGTCCTTTATCCCTCAGGGCTGCCTAAATGGGTCTTCTCAACAGACCTTGGAAGAGCATGACCTGGAGGGACGGTGGGTGGAGGAGGTGCCAGGCCACCAGCGGGCAGAGACCGAGGCACCCTGGGGAGCCAGGGACGGCGGCAGAGATGGAGCCACCCTGGGATGCCAGGCAGGGACAGCAGCAGAGGAGCCACCCTGGGGTGCTTGGCAGGAGTGACTGGCATGGTGTGAGGGGAGCAGAGGGTGCGGGGAGGGCCTGGGTGGAGAAGCATCAGGGGTTAAGTCTGGAAGGCAGGCCGAGCTGTGAAGGCCTTGAATGGCAGGTGAGGTGATGTCCGGCCTTCTCAGCACCACTCCCCTAGAGCTCCCAGCAGTCACCCAAGCCCCTCACTGGATGGGCCGGGTGGTAAACACAGCTGCCTGAGTGAATTATAATAATCACCACCACAGCAAGCACAGATGTTTTCGCTGTGGCCAGGCAGTGGTCTAAGCGCTTTGCAGTTCACTGCATTTAATCCTTCAGAGATTATGAAACTGAGGCATGCACAGATTAAATAACCCTACTTACCTCCTTAATCTCATTTCAGCTCATTGCAACCTTTAAATATCACCTATAGGCTAATGAATGCCAAATGTATGTCTCCACCCTGGGTTTCTCCCCGAACTCCAGGCTCACATATGCACCTGCCTTCCTGCTCCTACCCAATAGTCCCTCATATGCTACCTGTCCAAGCCCAGGCTCCTCATGCTCCCCTCCCCAGCCCTTACCTCTAGACCTGCTGCACTCACAGCTGTCCCCTCCCTAGGAAGTGGGACTCTTCAGGACTCTTCCAGCCACTCAGGCCAACCTGGAGTCACCCTTACCTCTCTCCCTTGCACCCCACAGGCGATGGGTTGGCAAATCCTCCCAGCTCCCCGCACTTCCCATGCACTACCCCACCCTAGCCCAGCCACCGTTGCCTCTCTCCAGCTCACCCTGGCAGTCTCTTGCTGAGCTTCCCTCCTCTCTCTCTGCCCCCGGAAGTCTATTCCCAACACAGCAGCCCGGGTGATCTGTTGATCGTCATTCCTTCCTCATTGCCCTCTTCTTGCAGCCCTGTGTCACCCAGAGCGGAGCCCAAGTCCTAATCCCCAAGTCAGCCCGCCCTCACTCTGCCTCCTTGCTCAGTCAAGCCAGACACAATCCTGCCTCAGGGCCTTTGCACGGAGGCTCCCCCTCCTCGGGACACTCTCACCCAGAGATCCTCTAGGTCTTTATTCAAGTGTCGGCTCCTCCTAGGGCATCACCCAGCCCCTGTGAAAACATGCACTTCCTATGTCTTCCCAGCTTTGTCCTTCTCCCATCACAGAATACTCCCCAACACACTACGTGTTATTAGCTCGTTTATTTCCCTCCACTTGCATATAAATTCCACAAGGGCAGACATCTTTGTCTTTTTGCTCACTGCTATATCCCAAGTGCCCAGAACAATGCCTGGGACAGAGTAGACGCTCAATGGCTGTTGTTGAATAAATAACGAATGAACTACCCAGGGTAACCATTGGTAAGTGATGGAGACAGGATTAAACCCAGGCAGTCTCACTTAATGGGAAGTCTATGCTCTTAACTACCCCTAACTGCCTTTGTTGCAATAAAGCGCCAATCTTTCATGGGCAGAGGATCACCCAAAACAATCACTACATTTGCCAGCCTCCGTTGCTGCTAGATGTGCCCATGTGACCATGTTCTGGCCGATGAAGTGTAAGCAGAAGAGGCACAGACAACTTCTGGGACCATCTATAAAGAGAAGGTGTGGTCGTCTGGGATAATGAGGTGACCTTGGGAATGAAGGATAAAGCGACAAGACAGGAGGACCTGGGATCCCTGACACTGAGAGCTTTAGAATAGGTAACTGGCCCGGCACGGTGGATTACACTGTGGATTACATTCACGCCTGTAATCCCAGCACTTTGGGAGGCCAAGGCAGGTGGATCACTAGGTCAGGAGATTGAGACCATCCTGGCTAACACAGTGAAACCCCGTCTCTACTAAAAATACAAAAAATTAGCCGGGCGTAGTGGCTGGCGCCTGTAGTCCCAGCTACTCGGGAGGCTGAGGCAGGAGAATGGCATGAACCTGGGAGGCAGAGCTTGCAGTGAGTGAGATCACGCCACTGCACTCCAGCCTGGGCGACAGAGCAAGACTCCGTCTCAAAAAAAAAAAAAAAAAAAAAAAAGAACCACTATGGGTAACTATCTCTTGACTTCTACATATTAGATAAATAAATATATAGCTTTCAGCAATCTTGGAAGCTATCTTGCTTAAGCCACTGCTACCTGTGTTATACTGTCTTTGGCCACCAAATTTAATCCTAATTCATTATCTGAGTCTCAGTTTCCTCATCTGTAAAACGGGAGTAATAGCAGTACCTCTGCAGAGTTGCTGTGGAGATTAAATAAGAAAATACATGGACATCACCTGGAATATAGAAGATATTCAGTATAGAAGGTTAGATATAAATAAGAATAAGCATATTAGTTATATCTAATAAGCATCTTCTATACTAAGATATCTTAGTATATATAGTTATCATCACTACTTAGTAAATATACAAAGCTATAACTTAGTATAGTTATATATATCTTTTATACTAAGAGGCTCAATTCTACATCACTTGATTGCTAAACACTAAAAGTGCAAACCAAAGAGGCTTTATAAACCCACCTTGAAGGAAAGGAACTAGAGCTATATTGGTTTCTACCAGTTTCCATACTCATTTCTACTAGAGAAACTAAGGCCCAGGTTTGCTCATGTCACAGGGTCCTTTGGTGGCAGAGCCAAGACTTGTCTCTGTTCCCCATGGCAGGATATGGGTGTGGAAGGTGTAAGTTCCCCTCACTCCTCCAGCAGTGCCCCTTCCCTGGCTGAATGCTTGTCAGTGTCAGGACTGGAGCCTCTCTCCCTGCACAGGCTCTGCTACCACCTCCATGGGAAATGGCTCAGAGCAGGTGAAGGGGGCGAAGGGACCAGCCCCAGGGCCTGGAGACCGTGGACAGCTGCAGTGACACTACACTGCTGCTGGGAACCTCTGCAGCCTCTCAGAGACCCTGCGGTGTCCCCAGGCGTCCTGCTGGCCCAGCTCTTCTATGCAGAGACTGCAGCAAATGACATGGCTTTGGCCCCAAGCCATCTGGAAACAGAATAATTTGCTAGAGTAAATGTATTCCTGGACAGTTCCCCTCCTTTGGGGGTGGCAAGGACAGGGCAGCCTGGGAGGGGCTGGGGGCTGAGAGCTCCGGGAGGCTGACCAGCCCAGGCGGCCTCTGCAGCCTCAGACCACTTGGGAGGGGCTAGAGCCTTCTTCTTGCTGTCTCCCAACAATGCTAGGAGGGGCTCAGAGAGCTGGTGGAGTCAGGGCTCAGCCTTCAGTCCCCCCAAAGACTCTGACCATTGTCACTCGAAGTCTCTGTCATTCTTACTACTTGCAGTTTCCCAGGACTTTTACAGAAATCAACCTGTGGTGGAGGGAGGGCTCCTTTCACCGTGACTTTTGTGAGAACTGAGGTTTCTTCCTTTGCCTCTCCCCAGCCACCTGCACCTGCCGTGGCGTCAGTCCCTGGGAAGGTATGGGGAGACCTGCCAAAGGTGCTCCGGTACCTGCCTGGGGATAATTCCTAACTGGTGGAGGCTGTGCTGATGGGAGCAGGAAGACATTGCTGGGATGGTGGTCTCTCACCAGTGGAAACTGTCTCCAGAGGTACAGAGAGAGGAGAGTGAGCAGTTGGAGACCAGAGTGTCTCTCAGAGCAGGACATGGAGGCCAGTAGGTAAGCTCCAGGGAGGTGTGGCTGTCCCTGCTGGCTGCTGCCGCTGCTGCCGCTTCTTCTTTCTTCTTCTTCTTCTTCTTCTTCTTCTTCTTCTTCTTCTTCTTCTTCTTCTTCTTCTTCTTCTTCTTCTTCTTCTTCTTCCTCTTCCTCTTCCTCTTCTTCTTCTTCTTCTTCTTCTTCTTCTTCTTCCTCTTCTTCTTCTTCTTCTTCTTCTTCTTCTTCTCCTTCCCCTTCCCCTTCCCCTTCTCCTTCTCCTTCTTCCTCTTCCTCTTCCTCCCCTTCCCCTTCCTCTTCTTCTTCCTCCTCCTCCCCCTCTTCTTCTACTTCTCCTTCCTCCTATTCTCCTTCCTCCTCCTCCTTCTTTCCTCCTCCTCCTCCTCTCCTTCTCCTTCTCCTCCTTCTCCTTCTTCTTCTATTTTTGAGACAGAGTCTCACTCTTCTTCCCCAGGCTGGAGTGCAGTAGCACAATCTCAGCTCACTGCAACCTCTGCCTGACAAGTTCAAGTGATTCTCTTGCCTCAGCCTCCTGAGTAGCTGGGACTACAGGTGCCTGCCACCATGCCTAGCTAGTTTTTGTATTTTTAGTAGAGACGGGGTTTCACCATGTTGGCCAGGCTGGTCTCAAACTCCTGACCTCAGGTGATCCACCCACCTCAGCCTCTCAAAGTGCTGGGATTACAGGTGTGAGCCACTGCACCCAGCCCCTGCTGGATTCTTGACCAAAAGCCATTCTCCTGTCTTTCTTACTAACATAACTGCAGTTTCTTTTCAGGATGACACCATGTCCAGCTTAAAATGTGTAGCTGGATGTTTTAAGTCTCCTTTGCAGCTATGGGTAGCCAGGTGACATAGTTCTAGCCAATGAAATATAAACCAAAAATGCCGGGTGGGGCTTCCAAGAAAGCTTGTGAAAGGAGAGTGGACTTAGCTGCACTTTGGACGTACTTTTGTCCTGATCCCTTCTCCTATCACCTTTTCTTCCTGAAATGAAGATGAGATGTCTTTGGGCACAGAAGCCATGTTGTGACTATGAGGATAATGGTCCCCGACTGTTGGCAGAACAGGAAGCTTGAAGGAGCCTGGGCCCTCAGTAACCTCCTGAAGCCATTGCCCCAACTCTGGACTGCCTGACTCCAGACTTTGTTTTTTCTTTTTTGTAATACCATGGCCACTGCTCCACATCACTGAATGCAACCCTAGCTCCTGCAGCAGTTTAGAGCAACAGTTCTCACAGTCTGCTGCTCATTCGAGCCATCCAGGGAGCTTCCAAAAAGCCCAGGGACCAGGACATACCCAATACCATTCCATCAGGTCCCTGGAGCTGGGGCCCAAGCATCTGTAAAAAAAAAAAAAAAAAAAAAAAAAACTCACAGGTGATTCAATGTACAGCCAAGTGTGAGAAGCAGTGGGTTAGATCAATGCTTCTTAGACGTTAAAGCACAGAGGAATCTTGCTAAAATGCAGATTCAGATCCAGTGGGTGGAGTAGGGCCTGGGGCTCTGCATTTCTGATAAGCTTCCTGGCAGTGCTGATACTGCTGCTCTGTGGGCCACACCGGGGGTAGCAAGGGGCCGGAGCACTGAGTTCCGTCTTTGGACGGAATCATCACCATGACAGTTACCATGCCCGCCTTCTCCTTTCCCTTTCTGTCTCCTTTCCCCTCTTTTTTGATCCTTCTTCATCCTTCACTGTGGACCACTCCCCCCTCGACTTACTACGCAGGCTCAGGATCCACGTGTCCCATCTCTAATCTTGCTGACAGCTCTGTAAAGAAACCTTCCGAGCCCAGAGAGAATTCAGGGTTGTCTGAGTCTATCTGATGAAGCCTGGGCATTTATGAGCCCCTGAGCATCTATTTGCACAGCTGATTTGCATGAAGGCTTTGAACTTTTTGTGTTTGTGCTGAGGCTGGAGGAAGGAACCTCTGTGCTGCAAGGGGCCTGGAGAGAGAGTGGGGAGAAAGATACAAAGACATTGTGGGGGATATTGTGGTGTCTAGTCCTTGATCTACCCTGAGGCTCTCAGTCTGACCTCTGGGGACAGTGGGTGTTCTCCCCATGTCGCAGCTGAACACGATTTAGCTTGTGCCTTGAAGCCCAAGGAGAACCTTCTGCTCACCTCGCTCCTGAAGGGTTTGAGTGTTTTTGTTTGTTTAGCTCAGGAAACCATGGAAAGTCAGCGGAGGCAGACGTCTTTTGTGGCCTCTGCCCAGCCTACGCTCTACCGTCTCTGAGAAGTGTCCCCACCCCAGTGGCAGGCCTCTGGAGCCATGCTTGTTTCACAACTCTGCTTCTTTTTGGCTGCAGGTGATTGGGCAAGGCTGGTCACCTATCCCAGGGGAAGCTAGATCACTGGCTGGGTGAGAAAACAGAAGGGAGAAACAGAGATGCTTGTGGCTACTCAGAGTGAAGCCTACAGGCCATGTGGGGGCCGGGGAGTCATCTTTGGCCTGTGGGCACAGAGGCATAGCAGATCTGCAGAAGGAGAAGGAAAGCCCACAGAGAGAGGCAGAGATGAGAGACGAGGCAGCCATGGAGAGGAGACTGCAGCTGCCTGGCTTCCTGACTCTCATCCAGCTGTGCCCTAGGGCCCCAGGAGTCCTGCCTCACTTCCACCATGGGCTCCATAGTGCTCTTGGCAGACGAACTCTAGTGACCTCTCTCCTAAGAGCCACACATCTTGGTGCTCAGGCTTTCGTATAATCCCCAACCCCCTTGAGTGTGGGTGGGAACTGTGACTTGCTTGTAACCAATGGAACTTGGCAAAAGTGATGGGCTGTCACCTCCACCATCACGCTGTCTTTTATGACTCCATCTTGCCAGTGGGGTGACTCAAGAGTCTCTCCCCCTGGCTGTCTTTAAAGAAGCAAGTGGCCAGGTTGAGAGGCCCATGTGTCCAGGAGCTGAGGGCAGCCTCCGGCTGAGAGCCGGCAAGAAGTCAAGGCCCTAAGTCCTGCAGACACAAGGAAGTAAATTCTGCCAACAACGTGGGCAAGCTCATGAGCAGATTCCCCCAGTCAAGCGCCCTCCAGGTGAGAAGGCACCCCGGCCAGAACCTTGATGGCAGCTTGCAAAACCCTAAGAGGAGGACCCAACTAAGTGATGCCTGGACTCCTAACCCACAGAAACTGTGAGGTTACTAATGTATGTAATCTAAAGCCTCTAAGCTTGTGGTAATTTCTTACACAATGGAAAACTCATCTAGTGCTGGTTCTTATCAGTGGCATTTACATAGGTAAGTTTCTGTGGTTTGCAACCGAAAGACTCTTGGCTAAGACAGAAACAGCAAGCCTGGGCTGGCATCTTCCCAGAGGAGCGACCCCAGCCAGAGAGCACTGATGGGGGCTTGAGCCAGCACGGCTGCCACCTGTGGGAGGCCTGGCCGAGAGGAGCAGCGGCTAGAGGGCTCCAACTCCCTGGATGCATTGGGATCCCCATGGAAACTCCCAGAAATACTTGTGGTAAGGAAGGGGGAACGCTGGTGTGGACAGGTGGGGCCCATGAAGCCAACAGAATTTGGGTATGTGATTTAATTTCTACATACCCTGCTTGGAGTTCACTGTAAATCTGTGTCTTACATCAAATGTAGGACATTTGGGGCCATTATGTCTTCAAATATCTTTTCTGCACCGGTCACTCTCTCCTCTCCTTGTCAGACTCCACCTAGATACATGTTAGAGCTTTCTATTGTCCTGCACGTCTCTGAGGCTCTGTTCCCCTTTCCCTTGAATAATTTTTCTCTCTGTTCTTCAGATTAAGTTATTTCTATTGTTCTGTCTTCAAGTTTCCTGACTCTTCTGTTATCTCAATTCTCTCGTTAAGCTCATCCAGTGCATTTTTGTTTCAGATATTTTATTTTTCAGTTCTATATTTTCCATTTGATTCTTTCTTATAGTTTCTACTTCTTTGCTGAGATTTCCTATCTTTTCATTTGTTATGAGCAGTTTTTACATCCTTGGGCATGATTATTGTGATGATTAATGGTACGTGTCAATTTGACTGAGCTAAGGTTGCCCGGATAGCTGGCAACAGATTCTTTCTGGGTGTCTCTGTCAGGGTGTTTCCGGAAGAGACTGGCATTTGAATCAATAGGCTGAGTAAAGATGATCTGTCCTCACCAATTAGACATTGTTCCATCCATGGAGGGTCCAACGAACAAAAAGGTGGGGGAAGGATGAATTTGTACTCTCTGAGCTGAGACATCCGTCTTCTCCCATCCACAGACATTGATGCTCCTGGTTCTTGGACTTTCAGAATGAATTATGCTACCGCCTTTCCTAGCTTTCCAGCTTGCAGACAGCAGATGATGGGACTCCTCAGCCTCCATAATCACATGAGCCAGTTCCTAGAATAAATCTCTCTCTCTTTCTAGATATATATGTAGAGATATGTGTGTGTGTGTGTGTATATGTGTGTGTGTGTATATATACATATATACATATACATATATACACACGCACACATATACACACACACATATATACACACACATATATACACACACATATATATACACACTATATATACCCACACATACACTCACATACATATACACATATAAATAGCCTATTGGTTCTGTTTCTCTGCAGAATCCTGACTAATACAGTTATAATAGCTAATTTTAAATCTTTATTAGCTAATTCCAACATCTAGGTCATGTCAGTCAGTCTCCATTCTTGAGAATTCATCAATGAAAACAAATTTTTGTACATTGTGTACAATTTTGAATAGCTTCTTGGATATTATAAATGTTTTGTTGTAGACACTCTGTATTTCTCCAAAGATTGCTGAATTTTTGGTTTTAGCAGGCAATTGATTTCGACTCAAAGTGCAAACCCTGTCACTCATGGATCTGGTTAAAATGTGGTGGCAGCTCAAATCTCAGTTTAGTTCTTTTATCCTTAGCTGAGCTGCTTTGAGTTTGCCCTCGTGTATGTGGTGTAGAGGTCAGAAAGAGATATGGGCGTAGTTTACACACAACATTTGGACTCCCTTTCTCTTTCATAGGCTCTCCCTCACTTTGTAGGGGCTGTGTGTGCCCCAAACTCTCTGGCTTTTCAAGTCAGAAAGAATCCAGTGTTTCCATCAGCCTGCCTGAGTCCAGTGTTTCCACTCACTGAAGCCTACCTTCAGGATAAAAAAGTTAAAAATAAAAAAAGTGGGTGAAGGAAAACCCATCCACTACCGTTTCCTTCTTCCAGGCATCAGATCTCTCTAGAACACATCTCGCTTTTGGTAGCTTTCCAATGCCATCAGCTAGTTGATTTTTATATGTAGAGTTTTATAGTTGCTATCTGCAGGAGTGACCTATGATAGGAGTTTACTCAGCCATTCTCAGGAGGGGACTCTGTGATTTCATGTGTGCTTACCAAATGCTGAACCTGAGGACATATGAGATAAAAAATATTAAGTCCTTTTTACAGATGAAAAAACTGAGGCCTCATAGGTCCCTCTGGCTTAAAGCTCTTCTACTGTCTTCTATCCACATCCCACTTGGGTGAGGCAGAAATGAGATGGAGTCCACCATGTGGAGACTGGGGAGGAGCTGGCAGGAAAGGAAGGAACGTGAGATGCGAATGAGCAAGTCTAAATGTGCAAGTCCTTTGGGGCCAAAAAGTTATCAGGATGCACTGAAGACTTGCACCTGGTTTGTTTGAAAGCATCTTAAGACTTCTTTCTTTCCTTTTGATTCCTTTTGAGAATTCCCTTGCATCCCAGCTGTGCTAAGCAGACATTTGCCTGGTGAAGAGCAGAACTTCAGCAGAGTCTTGTGACTACCCGAGACAGAGACAGAGACCAAAAAATGTCAAAGTGCCTCAGAGATTATCTCTCCCTATCCCCTCATTTTACAGATGAGAAAACTGAGCCCCAGAAAGGTGAAACGATTTGTCCAAGATTGTTCAAATTTTCTTAACTTCCCATCCAACGCTCCTTCTGCCAAATAAGCATAAATCCTTTACATGCATATGTGATTCTCTCTCTCTCTCGCCTGCCCACACACCACACACTACCAGCAAATATCAACGCCAATGACCCCATTGCCCTCTGATGACACCGAGGGGAGTCTGTCCATTGATGCTGTCATTCTCAATCTTTTTTTTTTATTCCATGGTACATGCAAAATATGACACAGACCCACAGATACCCAAGCACACCCCAGTTAATGCCATCCATCAATGAACTGATGATGGAGTCCAGATACGGTATGTTCTCTATGGCCTTTCCACCCCTCACCCCTCAGTCCCCCACAGCACCTACCATAGATGCGAAAGGCATACTCAATCTTCAGGCTTGGGCAGGCCTGCTCGCTGAACACAGATGCCATGCCCAGCACATCCTCAAAGGAGAACATGCCTTTGTGGGAGAACACTCTGCAGATACGGTCTCTGAAAGGGTTGACCTGTGGGCGACAGGAGGAGCAGGGAGGAGGTCTATCAGGGTCGGGGCTGTGTCTCCCTGGGTCTCTCTCATCTATTACAAACACTGTGTCCTGGGTTTGAGATGAAGACAACAGCCACAATGTAAATATCGGAGTAGATGGTGGCTCACTGAGCCAGGACCCTGGGCATGATGGGGTGCCGGGGATGAATCTTGCAGTTGGATATGTGACTTCACAAGATTCCTGCAAGGATGCCACAATTGAAGATAATGGTTATAATGCAAATGCAAATGAACAAGAGATTGTCAGAGCTGAAACCTCTCCTACTCTAAATACGAGTCCTTCTCTATGAGGTAGAAATCATGAGCATCCAGGCAGAAATAACAAGAAGTCCTGCATCAATTTTCTTGTCCTGTGCTCAGGCGGGTGCAAGGCAAGCCAACAGGCTCACTGCCCAAGCGCATAGCCAGCCAGGGAATGAGATACCAAGCTTCTTTTCCCTGGGGACCTCCCCTTGTCTTTGCTAGTAGTGATGGGAGGGAGGTGGTTGCCAGGACACCAATACACTCCTTAGATCCATGTCACATGACTTATCTGCGCGCACACACACACACACACACACACACACACACAAACCATGTCTTATAGAGACTGAAAACAGGACAGTTGATGTGGTAGCTGCTGGTAGCACGAATAGTACCTATGACACAACATGTGAGCACGTTGGAAGATGCAGAGAAAATATTGCCTAAGATATACAGAAATAAGTATTTGAACAAATTTCACACTGTGAAAGCTTTGCTAAATAGTTAAATAAAGGTATAGATTTTCTAATGTGGTTTTCCTAGATTCTGTATGTGAAAAACCACATTTCTGCAAGCCACGAAAGGAAACAGAGACATGGACTGAATAGTAAATGAATGTCTTTAATAAAAACACCATTGCTGGGGAAAAGTGAAGGTACTCATCGAGGGGGGTGGCTGCTCCAGGATGGAAAAGAATTCTGGGGTGAGGATGCAGGATGGTAACACATGCCAAATGACTTCCCTGCAGGATTTCCTGCCGGGTACTGCAGTCAGGAAGGTAAGCCCAGAAATAACTAAAGTACAGCAGAAGGCATTGAAATGGTTCTTTTTTAAAAAAGAGTTAAAATATAGTAAAACTTGGCCAGGCACGGTGGCTCAAGCTTGTAATCCCAGCACTTTGGGTGGCCGAGGCAGGTGGATCACCTGAGGTCAGGAGTTCAAGACCAGCCTGGCCAAAATGGTGAAACCCCGTCTCTACTAACAATACAAAAAAAATTAGCCGGGCGTGGTCGCGCATGCCTGTAATCCCAGCTACTCGGGAGGCTGAGGCAGGAGAATCGCTTGAACCTGGGAGGCAGGGGCTGCAGTGAGCCGAGATTGCGCCATTGCCCTCCAGCCTGGGCAAAAAGAGCAAAACTGCATCTAAAAAAAAAAAAAAAAGTAAAGCTTATACAGTGATTTGTAATTAGAAGGAAAGTAAGTATGAAAATCTTCTGAACCACATGGAGGTTTACTGCTTAGCTCTTGGAAGAGTTCTTAAAAGAGCTATCAAACTTAAAGATGAGTTATATGTTTTCCTGGCACAAAAAGACAAGTGTTCCAAATTTGCTGACCTTTCCATGATGACAAGTAGCTATTGGCAGTGTGCTACCTAGCAAATATCCACCAAAAAATGAACTCAATTTCATTTGACTTTTCAAGGTAAAGGTGACTCATTTTAGCGTTATTGCTTTTCTAAAGAAACTCATGCTTTGAAGAGAATATTTTTAAAATGGGATTTTTTGTGGTTAAAAACGTGTATCACCTATAGAAATGCTTATATTACATACCTGGAAATATAGAAACAGACTCTTCTGACCTGTTTGGATATTGTCCAAATAAAGAATGTCAGTGGATTTTGAATCCATTTGTTAAAAATATAAAAATATAATACTTTCCACTTAGTGTAAGAGCCACTGACTGATGTAAGGGAAGACAGACAATTACTAGCTTAATTTCAATTGAAAGCTTTTAATTGGTGAATGGGGTTGAAAATGAGTGCCGTGATTTAAGACATATAGCCCATGACACATTTCCTCTCTTTGGATCAGTTACGACAGCTATTAAAAAAAAAAAAAAACTGAACTAGAACCACACCTCTGAATGGCTCTAGCTCAATCTTAAAGCAAGATTTCAAAGAATAATGAAGCATATCCAACCACATTGCTTTCCCTTACAATATTATTAGCTATATGTAAACAATAGCATAGTGTAAGGAAGAAATCTTACTATATCCATTAAAGGGAAAATTGTTTGTTAAATATTTTATGTAGTTTTTAGCTTGTCCTTAAATTTTTTTATTTTGATATTATATCAGATTAGTATAGTAGTAAATGTATACAGTTTATAAATGAATATATACATATGATGAGTACATGTTTCTCATTTTTTCATATTATTGCGGGGGATTTGTGATCTAGGCTAACCTGCTCATCTCACGGATGTGGAAATGAGGCCTGGGGAAGGGGAGGGACTCAGCCAGCAAGTGGGAGAGCCGGCCTGAGACCCAGGACTCCTGAGCCTGTCCTGCCCTATTTCCACTAAGGTGCCTGGTGCCAAAAAAAAAAAAGCAAAGGCCAAGCAGTGGCCATTAAAATATAGAAAACCTTGGAAATGGATCCCTCTAAAATTCTTACTTTAATAAAAAACATTTTTTGGCCGGGCACGGTGGCTCACGCCTGTAATACCAACACTTTGGCAGGCCGAGACTGACGGAACTCCTGAGGTCAGGAGTTCGAGACCAGCCTGGCCAACATGACGAAACCCCATCTCAACTAAAAATACAAAAATTAGTAGGGCGTGATGGTGCGTGCCTGCAGTCCCAGCTACTCGAGAGACTGAGGCAGGAGCATCACTTGAACCCAGGAGGCGGAGGTTGCAGTGAGCTGAGATCACGACAGTGCACTCCAGCCTGGGTGACAGAGGGAGACTCCATCTCAAAAAAAAAAAAAAGTGCAAAAACAGAATCTAGATTGAAGTTAAAGAAATGGCTCATGGCCCAGGAGAACTCAGCAGCCGGCTAAAAATGACTCTGTGACTCTGTGACTATGAAAGTGAGAGGCACGGGAGGGGGCCACGGGACCAGAGGCTGCAGAAGAGAGAAGGTCAAAGAAGATGGAGCTGACACGGAGCAACTGGGCTTGGGAAACAGTGAGGAATCCGAGTATGGAGCAGGGGACACTGTCCCTGAGAGGATGGCAGGGCAGATGTCAGGCCGCAGGGCTAGGGCCGAGCTCACCAGAGCTGCGATTGGGTCCTGGGGACCCAGGAGTGGCTAGTATAGTTCGCTGTAAGGCCTGGCAGGCACCTGCCAGGAGAGTGTCCCAGGGCTGTCTCTGGTCCAACAAGGTGCAGCTTCCTTCTCTCCCAGGGTCCCTGTCTCAAGGGATAGTTCAGGTTATGAGCCCCCCTGAGACAGAGCAGCTCCAGTCAAAGGGGCACCGATAGTGCTGCGGGAGAGTTTCTAGGGGCCCTGGTGGGGCAGCCTCATGCCCCTCCCTGCTCTCCATCCTGAGCTAAAGGCCAGCTCAGCCGGTGTCCTCGGATCTGGTTCAGTCCAGCCCCAGGCAGACAAAACAGCCAAGAAGGGGAAGCTGAAAGAGCAAGCCTCATTAGAGATCACAGGTCCAGTTTACTGGATTCCAGATTTTTGATGCTATAACTTTAATAGTCTGAAATCTGAACGAATAAATTTGGGGACCTATCCAGAGAGTTATCATCTGTATGAAATTTCACACTTTTTTAGAAGTCTTCAATCCTCCAGAGGAGGAAGGAAGTGACAGTTGACAAAGCAATGCTTCCATTTCAAGAATAACATGTACCCTGGTTTGAGGGCGTTTTGAACAAAGGGAATACAAACATGTCAGTACAGCAATTTATACAGGTAACTCAGTGTATGATCTCCATTTATACGTGATGAAACTAAAGTAGATGAAAATAAACCCCAAATTCTGGGAGTTTTTTTGGAAATAGAAACTACAGTTTATCGACAATAAAAAGATTGCAGTCCCTGCCAAAAAAACTAAAAGTTTTCTTTTTTTAAAGATCTTCTTAAAGTTATTGAACAAGAGATTTGATTTGAAGATGAAAGTCAGAGGAAAAATATTTGGACCTAGCTTAAAAATATCTCCTCACCATTTCTCCAACTAGCGCCTAGTCAAAAAAAGCTTTTTACAGTTGCTGGAAAAAATTCACACAAAAATACGCTAGTGACTCAATGATGATGTCATTGATGCACTTGGACTTTCAAGAGCTCATTAAAAAAATCAAACAGTATTAATTTATGTAAAATTTCTCATCTCTAAATTTTCTTAATTACTAGTGTTTTTGTTTTCTTTTTCTATTTAGACTTCATTTAGTGTTTTTATTTTCTAATCATACTTTATTTTGTGAATTGTATCTGCTACCCACTCTTATTAAAATAATATGATTGGCCGGGCATGGTGGCTCACACCTGTAATCCGAGCACTTTGGAAGGCAGAGGTGGGTGGATCACGAGGTCAGGAGATCAAGACCATTCTGGCCAACATGGTGAAATCCTGTCTCTACTAAAAATACAAAAATTAGCTGGACATGGTGGCGTGCACCTGTAGTCCCAGCTACTCAGGAGGCTGAGGCAAGAGAATCGTTTGAACCCAGGAGGCAGAGGTTGCAGTGAACCAAGATCACGCCACTGCACTCCAGCCTGGTGACAGAGCGAGACTCTGTCTCAAAAAAAAAAAAAAAAGATATGATTAATGTTTATTGACTGGGCGCAGTGGCTGCTAGGCATGGTGGCTCACTCCTGTAATCCCAGCACTTTGAGAGGCCAAGGCAGGCAGATCACCTGAGGTCAGGAGTTCAAGACCAGACTGGTCAATGTGGCGAAACCCGTCTCTACTAAAAAATACAAAAATTAGCCAGGCGTGGTGGTGAGCGCCTGTAATCCCAGCTACTCGGAGGCTGAGGCAGAAGAATTGCTTGAACTCGGGAGGCAGAGGTTGCAGTGAGCCGAGATCGTGCCACTGCACTCCAGCTTGGGTGACAGAGCAAGACTCTGACTCAAAAATAAATAAATAAATAAACAAATAAAGAAATAAAATGATATGATTAATGTTTATATTTTGAACATTTTACACAGATGTAAAGCACTTGTCAAAGAAAGAGGTAGATGAAGGTGTCTGTTAGAGTGGTATAGAAGAGGTCAGTCCTTCCTCAGTCTTGAGTGGAGTCCTCAGTTTACCTGAAGCACCCTCTCACCCAGAAAGGCACTGCCCAAAAAGTGCCTCATGGCTGTGTAAGGTTAGGTGAGCAGAGCCCATGTCCTGGGAGAAGGGTGTAACAAAACCTTTTGTATTTTAGTGCCTTTTAAAACTCCCCTCAGATATACTTATGGGTTAGAAGGCTCAATATTATTAATGTTGATTCTTTCCAAATTGATCCATAAAGTTAATGCAGTTCTAGTTAAAGTTTTCCAGCCAGTCCATTTTGCAGGACTTGACAAGCCAATTCTAAAGTTTACGTGGAAATGCAGGGGTGAAGAACAGCCAAGTTAATCCTAAAGAACAACAAAGCTGGAGGACTTATACCACTAGATATCAAGACCTAGGCTGGGAGCGGTGGCTCACACCAGCACTTTGGGAGGCTAAAGGGTGAGGATTGCTTCAGTCCAGAGTCTGAGACCAGACTAGGCAACATAATGAGACCCTGTCTCTACAAAAAAAATTAAAAATTGGCCAGGTATGGTCTTGCACGCCTGTAGTTCCAGGTACTTGGGAGGCTGAGGTACAAGGATCAATGAGCCTAGGAGGCTGAGGCTGCAGCATGCCATGATTGTGCCACTGCACTCCAGCCTGAGTGACAGAGTGAGACCATGTCAAAAAAAAAAAAAAATATATATATATATATATATATATATATATATATATATGCATGCTAAGCCTTTAGTAATTAATGTGGTATGGTATTTGTTCAAGGATAGACAAATAGATCAATGGCCATAATGGAGACTCCAGAAACAGACCCACACATATATGGCTACCTGATTTATGACAAAGATAACATGGCAATGCTGTGGGGGAAGGGACAGTCTTTTCCATAAGTGATGTTGGGTTTAGTGGACATTCATATGGGGAAAAAATGAATCTTTATAATCCTACCTCACACCATACACAAAAATCAAATCCAGACTGATCATAGATCTAATATGTAGGACTAAAATAAAACATTAGGTAACTATCACAGGAGGATATCTTCATAATCTCGGGGGCAAAGACTGTTTAACAATATACAAAAGCACAAACCATAGGAGAAGACTCATAAATTGGAGTATATTAAAAATTTTCAAATTACATTGCTCAAAATACATAATTAAGACAATGAAAAGGCAAGCCATAATAATCACTAGGTACTTCCACAGGTGAATGGATAAACAAACCATGGTGCATTCATGCAATGGAATACTACTCAGCAATAAAAATGAAGAACCATTGATTAATGAAACAACGTGGATGATTCTTCAATGCATTTTGCTAAATAAAAGAAGTCAGACACAAAGGGCTACATATTGTATGAGTCCATCCCAGAAAATGTAAAACCATAGGGCTGGAAAACAGATCATAGCTGTCAGTGGTTGTGGGAGGGGGAATGAGTTCACTACAAAGGAAATTTTGGGGGTGATGGAACTGTTCTCTAGGGTGCTGTGGTGCAGATAGAAGCCATGCCTTTATGCATTTCTGGAAACCCATAGAACTGTACACCACAGAGTGAACTTTACTGGATGCAAATCAAAGACAATATGGGATGATAGAGAATCCAGGATGGAATACAGGTCATGGCAAATGAAACCAACTGTATTACAAATGCATGACAAAACCTTCCTGAAAGGAGTGGAAGAAGAGGAAGTGACCAAGTAACTTTGAAAGGTGGTGTTTGACCAGGTACGTAGTCTAAAGACCAAAATAATATAAATAAACTTCTAGGGAGTATTCTAGGGAGTCATTCCAGGGAGTATTCTAGGGAGTGTATTCTAGGGAGTCAATTTGATTCTCACAGGGTTATGGATTAGCAATTCTTACCACAAGTATACAAAGAGTGAACAAATACATAAATAAATAACAAGTTATAAGTAAGATAAAATAAGTTATAAAGAAGCAAGAGGGAAGGCTAGATATGGTACTGGATTAGTCAGAGACATCAATATGAACTAATGGGTATTTTACTACATGTACAGATGGATAGATACAAAATAAATATTGATGTGTAGTATACATGGGTTAGTATACATACCTATATTTTCTAGCTTCTGTCTACCAAATAACTTTACAGTGGAGAAACTTAGAAATACCATCCTCACCAAATGATCAAGGTTAATATCACCAGTAATAGGTCATGTTGATGTCAGGTATCCCCTGGTATGATGCAATGAGAAGGGCGGTTCAGGCCAGGTGCAGTGGCTCACGCCTGTAATCTCGAGCTTGGGTGGCTGAGGCGGGAGGCTCACTTGAGGACAGGCATTCGAAATCAGCCTAAGCAACATAGTGAGATCCCATCTCTAAAAAATTAAAATAAGCTGGTGTGGTGTTCTGTGCCTGTAGTCCTAGCTACTCGGGAGGGTAAAAGGGGAAGATCACTTGAGCCCAGAAGTCCAAGGCTGCAGTGATCTATGATCGCTCCACTGTGGCATGGGCGATAGAGCAAGACCCTGTCTCTAAAAAACGGGGTGGGGTGGGGGGGTTCACTTCTGTGGTATTTGCACAAATCCATTACTTCTGTCTAATTATGAGAAAACATCTGACAGACCCAAGTTGAAAGATGTTCTACAAAAACACCTGGTCTGTGCTCTCCAAAAAATCATGGAAAAGCGAGACTGAGAAACTATCACAGATCAGAGGAACGAAAAACACGCAATGACTAAATGGAAGGTGGGACCCTGGAGGGGATCCTGACACAGATCAAAAAACATGAGTGGAAAACTAGTGCAAGCCGAGCAAAGTTTGTATTGCATTAATACAATGCAAGCACTAATTTTTATTTCTTAGTTTTGAAAAATAAAGTAAATATAAAAATACCTATATAAAAATATAATAGGTATACAGGTCCTGTATACCTTTCACCCAGCTTTCCCTGATGTGAATACAGGGTGAAAGGTACACAGTCTTGTCTTACTAAATCTTAAAAGCTGGACTTGAAAATATCAATGATTTCAGTAACAAAACAGCATCCAAGAACAAAACTCAGTAACATTTAAATGAATGCAACAAAATTAAACACCTAACCATACAAAATTTACAGTGTTTAGCATCCAGTAAAAAATTATCCATCATGCAAAAAAAGAAGGAAAATAAGACCCACAACCAGTAGAAAAATCAGCTAAAGAAAACAGACCCATGCTTATGCCTGTAATCCCAGCACTTTCGGAGGCTGAGGCAGGCAGATCACTTGAGCCCAGGAGTTCAAGACCAGCCTGGGCAACATGGCAAAAACCCTATCTCTATTTTAAAAAAATACAAAAATTTACCAGGTGTGGTGGTGTGCGCCTGTAGTCATAGCTCTTCAGGAGACTGAGGTGGGAGGATCACTTGAGCCCAGGAGGCAGAGATTGCAATGAGCCAAGATTGTGCCACTGCACTCCAGCCTGGGCAACAGAGCAAGAGCATACCTTAAAAAAAAAAAAAAAAAGAAAGAAATATGAAGAAAACTACATCAATGCACAGCATAATCAAACTGCTAAAAAGCAGTAATAAGAAGAAAAATCAGAGCTGGACATGGTGGTTCATGCCTGGAATCCCAACACTTTGGGAGGCAGAGGCAGGAGGATCGCTTGAGCCCAGGAGTTCGAGACCAGTCTGGGCAGTTTAGCAAGACCCTGTCTCTACTAAAAATAAAAAAATTACCTGGGCATGGTGGTGCACGCCTGCAGTCCCAGCCACCTGGGAGGCTGAGGCAAGAAGATTGCTTGAGCTCAGGAGAACGAAGCTGCAGTGAGCTATGATCATGCCACTGCACTCCAGCCTGGGTGACAGAGCAAG